>NW_025791786.1:0-207371 GCF_000001405.40 Homo sapiens | reverse complement strand
CCACAAGAGTCTCTGCCCGGCTGCTGGGAAGTGGAGCAGGCAGTTCCGCAAACCTGGAGGAGGAGGGGTTTATGAACTCAATCAAGTGCCCCAGAAATTTCTCTGTGCAAGTCCTGCCCCCCAGGACCTCAGAATGGGACCATATTGGGAGATAGGGTCTTTAAATAGGCAGTGAAGGTAAGCTGAAGTCACTGGGGTGGACCCTGATCCAGGATGTCTGGTGTCCTTATAAGAAGAGGCGATGGGGACACAGGCACACTCAGAAGGACGACCACATGAGGAAGCAGGGAGAAGGTGGCATCTGCAGGTCCCCCCAGGAGGGACACCTTGATCTGGGGTCCCACCTCCAGGACTGTGGGGACCCATCTGTGTTGTCTCGGCCACCCAGCCTGTGGTGCTTTGTACCACAGCCCCGGGAACTAACTCAGGTGCTCTCCCCAGCTTGCAAAGAAAAAGGAGACCCGGAGGAGACTCAGGGGCTGGGAGTGGAGGCCCCAGCCTCGTTCTCAGCCGACAAGGACCTGGGCGTCTCTGCTCCAGGCCACAGGGTGTTAGTGGGTAATGAGGCAGGGCCTGCTGGCCCAGATGAGGGCTGAGACTGGCAGGAAGCAGGGCCAGTCCCCGGGCAGGACTGGACACGGAGACACAGGGACAAACCAGGGTGCTTCCTGCTCCATCCTGACCTGGAGGGGCCTGTCCATGCTCCCTGTGGACACCAACAAAGACCCAGCTACCCTGTGAGCCAGGGCCACGGAGACAGTGAGAAGGTCCCCCAGGGAGCTCCTGACCCAGATGTCACCCTCAGTGAGACCAGTGAGCGAGAGAGCATGCCGGGGACGGGTCCTGGGGGCACCATGGATCTCGTGTGTGTGTGTGGAAGTGTGCACATGGACACATTTGTGTGTGCTGCCTGTGTGTGCATGTGTCTGAGTGGGTGTGGCTATGTGCGGACACGTGCCTGTGTGTGTGTGTGCATGTATTGCACTGTGTGTGCACATGTGTCTGAGAGTGTGTGTGTGTCTTCGCATTTGCATGTGCAAGAGTCCGTGTGTGCTGGTGTGCATAGTGTGCATGTGGGTGAGGGGGAACCAGGGTTCACAGCCCTCTCTGCACTTCACCGCAAGCTGGGTGACCTCAGGCAGTCATCACAGCCCTGACCCTCTCTCTCCTCATCCAAAGCAGGGGGTGGAGGCTGCCTGCCTAGAAAGGCTATCAGTGACCAAGATGATGAGTGGGGACCCCTTTTCTGTGCCTGGATCATGGGAGGAGGCCAGCGCATGTGAGGCTCCCCAGCTTCCCCGCTCAGGGCTCTCACACACAGTTTTCTCAGACACAGGAGGGTCCTGACCTCTTCTGCTGGGCACAGCCCGAGCCCAGCCTCCTCAGGGAAGCTGTCCCAACCCCCAACCATGCCAGCTCTCCCTGCTGACCCACACCTCCCCACCGCCGAGGCCCTTGCACAGGAAGCCCTCAATCCAGCCAAGATCAGTCATTCCTACAGCTCCCACACAACCATGTCTCTCCCTGTCCCGCCACCTTCAGCTCCCGCTGCCCCAGCCAAGGACTGTGTGAGGAAGCTTCTGGGGGAGAGGCCCCCTGGAGCACCACGTGGAGGGTGACTGAGAAGCTCCCTGCACCTGGGCCGGAGAAGCGGTGCTGTGGTTGATGAGCAATGCTTGCAGGGGCCTTGGGGTAGGGCACGGTGTACACACCAACCTGCAGCTCCCAAGTCCTCAGCTGGCCCTGCGCCCTTCATGACATAGCCGCACCAGCGGCCATTCAGTCACTGTTTGACTATCACCTGCTCTGCGCCAGGGGCCTTGGACGGGGGCATGGTTTGAAAACATCACACAGAACCCTTTCCTGGGAAACCGAGTCAGCGGGGAGACAGCCCAGGAACTGTCCCAGTGGGTAGCTAATCGGGTAGGGCAGGGCAGGAGAGGGACCCCACACACAGAAGTGTCAGCCAACCCTCGGCTGATGGTCAGGCGGTCGTTAATTGTCTCTCTAAAGTAATAATTGGCCACAGCCGGCGCCAGGGAAAGGCCATCTCCCAACAGATAGGAAACACCTGAAACGTGATCCGCTGCTTCCGGATAAGATCTCAGGAGCTGGGTCAAATGGTATTTCTAGTTCTAGATCCCTGAGGAATCGCCACACTGACTTCCACAATGTTTGAACTAGTTTACGGTCCCACCAACAGTGTAAAACTTAAAGTATAAAAAAAAAAAAAAAACTCAGGAGCTGGGCGACTGGGTTCAAGCATGCGCGTGCGGACAGCACATCCCAAGGGAAGCATCAGGGCAGAAGGGCTGCAAGACACTGGAAGTGTGAGGCTCTGCAGCCCCATTCAGATCCGCCACCCGTGACATACTCTGGTGCCATGTGACTCGGATTGCTGCCACTGCCACCAACAGAACCAGTGAGGGAAACACTCCCATGGGGGTGCGATGGAGGAGGCAGAGTGAGGGAAACCCTCCTGTGGGTTGCGATGGGGGAGGCAGAGAGTGAGGGAAACCCTCCTGTGGGGTGCGATGGGGGAGGCAGAGAGTGAGGGAAACGCCCCCATGGGGTGCGATGGAGGAGGCAGAGACTAAGGGAAACGCCCCCGTGGGGTGCGATGGAGGAGACA
Source organism: Homo sapiens (assembly GCF_000001405.40). Classification (NCBI taxonomy): domain Eukaryota; kingdom Metazoa; phylum Chordata; class Mammalia; order Primates; family Hominidae; genus Homo; species Homo sapiens. The sequence goes on along the minus strand of NW_025791786.1, from coordinate 204,739 downwards.
GAAGCAGTCAAGGAGCTCTGGGAAGTGCCCTGCTCCCTGGACTGGGGCTGAGATCCACCCAGCTCCTCCCTGCCACTCCCACACAGAGCCACCTGTACCTAAGCAGCAACTTTGGACATGACACCTCTCCCCGCCTGGCCTCAGTTTCCCCATCTGTGAGATGCCCCCGCCAGGCTCTGACCTGCTGGGCCTTCTTGGATCTGCCATGGTGAGGGCCGTGCTGGGCCCATCCACAACCCTACAATTGGGCAGCCTGCTGATCACAGTGTCTCCCACCCCATCCATCCGAGGACACTCTGAGCCTAAACTCAGTGACTCCTGTACCCCCTCTGCCTGACAGGCTTCCAAGACTTGACCTCCTATGTGGAAATCCTGTTTCCAAATGGCTTCTGGGGGCACCAAAAGCCAGGCTGGGAGATGCCCAGGAAGGGAGACAATCTGAAGCCACCTGAGCCCACAGGTCAGGACCATGACCCAGCCCAGGGGGAGGGCAGGGCTGATGGGGAGAGGACGCAGGAGGTTGGGTGGCCTTCGTCATGATGACAAAGACGGTGGAGGCCAGTTCCCTGTCTGCCCGACAGCCTCCTCTGCAGGGAAAAAGTGACCCTCTCATTCTCCCCTCAGCCCCACTCTGGATGAGGAGGCGGCAGAGCCGTGTCTCTCTATTGCCCAGAGAAGAGCCCCTTCTCCCACGGAAGCTGCTCTGCTCTCCACCCTGTACGCCAGCTCCCAACTGCTCTTCAACAGCCCAGGCGCGGGCACGAGGAGGACGCGTTTGACGGGAGCCCACATGTCACCCTCCCTCCCAGCCGGGCGATGCCTCTCCTACAGCTTCCCTCCAACTGACTGTCCTAATCAGGCTCCAGAGGGGAGGCTGATTGGAGCTGCGGTGGGTGGAAGCCGGGATAGACTGGAAGAAGGACTTCCCAGACTCCCAGGGAGACCCAGGAAGCAGGGGAGGGTGTGGGACCCACTACAGCACCCCCACCAACCCAGGAAGGTCTCCAGCCCTGCTCAGACCATCACAGATTCTCACCACTGAACACCCCAGCCCTGCACACCCCAGCCCTGCACCGCCCAGGCCAGCCCAGGTGGAGGCTGGATCCCGGCCCATGGTGCTCACAGGCCCCCGCCCCGGGTAGCTGGGAAGGGCGTGCGGGCTGCGTGGCCTCCCCTCCAAGCTGCCCAGGGACAGGGACGGCCAGAGGAGAGCAGCCCAGGGCCAGGATCCCGCCCAGGCGGGAGGCAGGTGGCTGCGCAGGACACCCCCATGGAGCTGTCCACCTCACCTGCCCTGTGGCTGGTCACACTGCACGGCCAATGTCCCTTCACTTGTCGGGCCCCCAGCTGGACCTGAGATCCTGGGGACAAAGCCTGACAAAGGTAACTCAACTCTGAGTCTCTGGACCCCAGAACTGGGCCCAGCCCTGAGTGGGTGCCCCGGAGCTGATGGATCCTGACAGTCATAACAGCCCACCTGTTCTCAGGCTCCAGATCCATGGCCCAGTTGGATTATCCCAACTACTCACTAAGGTGGGGTGACTACTCCTCCATCTCACAGCTGAGGACATGGACGGCACACAGAGAGATCCATTACAGGGGCCAGAAGCAGACCCAGCAGCCCGGCTCCGAGTCCATGCCACCATGCCAGTGAGGCAGAACGGGGGGTGGAGGGGGAGAGGCCTCGCCGGCCCCTCTCCAGGCAGCCTGCAGGAATGGGGGACTAGGCTAAGGGTGCCATTCCTGTGCGGCCAGCAGGGCTCGTGGCGAGGCGTCCACTCTCCGCTTGAGGATGCAGAGCTCCACAGGGCCCAGGTAAGACACCAGGGGTCCGCAGTGAGGGAAGTGAGATGAGAATTCACACCCAGCACAGTAACTGATGAATGAGCGAATGCATGAGGGGGTGAATCTGTCCCACCTGTGCCAAAGGCAGGGCCCCTCCCTTGGTGCCAGGCAGGCCAGCCCTGGCTCTACCCCTCCTCTGTGTGACCGGGCAGTCCTGAGGCCTCTCTCCCTGGGCGTCCTTATCTGGGGAGGGACAAGAGCACCTGCCTGGCAGGTCCTTTCAGAGCGACCCTGAGGACAGACAGGCAGCACCTGGCACCCAGGAGAGCCTCGGGCAGCAGCTTGGCCTGGCCCTCTCCACCCAGAGCCAACGACAGGGACCCCAGCGCACCCATGCCTCCAGCAGAGAGGCCCCCGCCCCTCCCCGCCCCTCCCCACCGCCCGCCGCCCCCACCCGAGGCAGCATATGTTCCCGGCAGGCGGATCCGTCACCAGGCTGCTATTTTTGTGCAGCATGTTCTGCTTCTGAGAGCAAATGTTTCTGCAGCTCCAGTATCCAGGGACCAGCCAGCCCTGTCCCATCCCAGCAGGGGAAGAGAGGCACTGGCCCCGAAGCTAGATTTCAGGCCCAAACACAGCCCGAAAGCCCAGGAGATGGAGGCCATGCTGAGACAGCAGCGAAGCTCCAAGGTCACTCTCCGAGTCAAGGGACGGGCTGGGCCGGGAACCCTGGACCCACACAGGCTGCCTTGGGCCCGTGTCCTGGGCTGGCTGGCCTCCACTCCACAGCCTCACAGACCCCCCCAAGTGTCCAGGCCTGAGTCGGGGAGCGGGAGGAGGAGGAGCCCCATCCCCCAGGAGTGTGGGGTCAGGCCAGCCACGGGGCTATGGAGAGCAGCCCCAGACTCCCCAGTTTGGCCAAAGTTGCAGGGAGTCCGGGGTCCATGGAGTTCTCCAGGCACAGGCTTGGGGGCAGTCACTGTCAAGCCCCTCACTCAGGAAAAGAGGGAGCGTTTCCCACCTACAGGCCGCCATGCGGCCTGCCTCAAGCCCTGACTGCCCCCTCCTCCCCAGTCCCTCTGGTCACCCACTCCTGCCTGGCACCCTGAAGAGACTCACTCCGAGTGCCCACTGCATGCCCATTGATGGGACAGAGATGACCTTCCCCCTCCCCCTCGTGCTGCCTATCCAGGCCCACCCAGAAGCTGTCTCCCCTCCTGGCTCTTCCTTCCTGCCCACCCAGCTCCGGTCCTCCCTCCATCCGTCCCATCCATCCCATCCGTCCAACTCAGTTTCCCCGGTCAGCAGCATTTGGCAACAAGGAAGCAGTTCCCATGACAACGGCCAGGAAGCCAGCTCCAGATAGGGGGTTGCCCTGAGAAACTGGCTCTGCCAAGGCCTGAGCTGCAGGCCAGGGTGGGGGTATAGCCACCTGGGTGGGAGGACCCTGTGGTGGGGTCTGAGGAGGACCAGTGGGAGGAGGGGTGCCAGGCAGCCCTAGAGGGTAAAACAGCCCAGCTGGAATCCTTCCTTGCTAGGTAACCCTGGACAGATCAGTTCCCCCAAACCTCAGTTTCCCCCTCTCAAAAACAGACACATTGGGACATATTTCATTAGGTTTGCAGGAAAATGATCATTCCCAGCAATAACTGGTGCCAGGTTTAGAACCTCTACAAATGCCAGGCACTTTACAAACACTCTTCGGTCTTCAGAGGACACCTGTGAAGAAGTTACAACCATCCCATGTTCCAGAGGAGAAGACAGCGTCCCAGGGAGAAGAATGCATTTCACTCTGTTGCCCATGCTGGAGTGCAGTAGCGTGATCTCAACTCACCACAACCTCTGCCTCCTGGGTTGAAGTGATTCTCATGCCTCAGTCTCCTGAGTAGCTGGGACTACAGGCGCCCAACCATACCCGGCTAATTTTTGGATGGATTTTTAGCACAGATGGGGTTTCACCACGTTGGCCAAGCTGGTCTCAAACTCCTGGCCTCAAGTGATCCTCCCGCCTTGGCCTCCCAAAGTGCTGGGATTACAGGCGTGAGCCACCACGCCCAGCCTCAAGGTCATGATTTAATAAAAAGTATTTTCTGTGCTTCATCAAAGACAGTCCTAGGTGAAACTGACTGTTTTGGGGCTTGGGAGTTTTGCAAGCGTGTGGCACGGCAGAACCCACGCCCGCCTTCAAGCAGCATTGGGACCACTGCGGAGATCGGTGCTTGCAGATCCGCAGCAATACTGGTCATTGCTTTTGCACCATCGGGGAAAACAGCAAGAGACACCAACATCTGAGTATTCTTGCTGAAACAATTTTGAACTTGCAGATGCCCTGAAAGTATCTTGGGAGCCCAAGCTCAGGTGCTTTGCTGGGCCCAGCCCACCCCAATCCAGCCCATCCCAATCCAGCCCACCCCATCCAGCCCACCCCAATCCAGTCCATCCAGCTGACAGCACGTCCTAATTTCTTGGCCATGTCAGGCACGTCAAAAACATTTCAACCCTGGCATGGTGGTGGGGTCTTTCCATGTCCTGCCCAGGGACCACCTCCATTGGCTGGCTCCTGGCTCCCTGCACAGCTCCATCCCAAGGCTGACTTGCCCAGTCTCCTGCGGAGCCACTCCTCTTGGGGTCCCCCTCTTGAAAAGACCCCTGCCCAAAGCTCCAGCCCTGGGATGCTGATAGCAGCCGTGCTGAGATTGAGGCTGGGGTAGAGGGGCCATCTAGAGCAGTCGCTCCCACTACCTGGCAACTTTTGCAAGTTTCTCGTGCCTTTGTCCATTCCTTCACTGAAAATTATGCAGTCTGAGGTCACCAAATGGTGGCCCTCAGTAGAAAGGAGGAGCTCCAAAACCCATACAGAGCGCCAGGCATGTGGCTAGCTGCCTTGGGGAGCTGACAATGGTGGTGTCGGTGCTACTATTCCTGTGGATACTGAGCAGAAGGAGAGGCAGCTGTCCCAGGGCACACACCGCCTGGCAGGAGACAGACACCAGCAGTCAGAGAGAAGCACGCAAGTGCTACGTCAGGGAGTCCCCTCAGGGTCCCGCGGGACACAGAGCCTACCCAGCCACTGGCCAGAGACACCATGGCCCCCAATGGTATCCAAGCTGGGACTTGAGAATCAGTAGGAATTCTCAAAGAAGAGAAAGAAGGCTGTTCCTGGTGGAGAAAACAGCAAGGGTGAATGCCTGGAGGAAGGAGGGGGCAGGGTACAGCAGGGTGCATTCCAACAACCCAAACCCATTCCAGGGGACAGTGGGAGCGGCAAGTAAGGGTCATAGATGGTGGTGCGGGGCGTCTCCATCAATGTGACCCCCACGCATCTTAGGATCTTCAGATTTCAGAATCTATTTGGTTGGGTTTGTTTTTGTTTTGTGCTCTTAGTTTTACAGATGGAGCCTTGCTCTGTTACCCATGCTAGAGTGCAGTGGCACAATCACAGCTCACTGCAGCCTTGAACTCCTGGGCTCAAGCCATGCTCCCACCTCAGCCTCCCAAGTAGCTGAGACCACAGGTGCACGCCACCACACCAAGATAATGTTTTAATTCTTTGTGAGACAAAGTCTAGGTATGTTCCCCAGGCTGGTCTTGAACTCCTGGCCTCAAGCCATCCTCCTGCCTTGGCCTCCCAAAGCTCTGGGATTACAGGCATGAGCCACTGCAGCCAGCACATCAGGGAATCTAACAGCCAACGTGCTAGGCAAATAGCTATGCAGGACACTCATTCACTCACACTCTCATTTCACAAACATGCATTCATCAACAGATGTCAACCACTCCAGTTGGAAGAAAAGATTCCCTGGAGGAAGAAGAGACCCATGAACATTCTGGGGGCGAAGGAAGGACCTAGTTCCAGGGGCCGAGTTTAGCAACACTAGCTTCTTCCTCTGAGCTTTGGGAGCTACTGAAGGTTCTTGGGCAAAGAAGGGTCCGGCGCGTCCTCTGTTCCTCAGTCAGGGTTCTCTAGAGGGACAGAACCAATAGGATAGATGTATATATAAAGGGGGGTTTAATAAGGAGAGTCAACTCACACAATCATAAGGTGAGGTCCCACAAGAGGCCGTCTGCAAGCTGAGGAGCAAGGAAGCCAGTCCAAGTTTCAAAGTCTCAGAAGTAGGGAAGCGAACAGTCCAGCCTTCAGTCTGTGGCTGAAGGTCCAAGAGTCCCAAGGCTGAAGAGCCTGGAGTGCGATGCTCGAGGGCAGGAAGCATCCAGCACGGGAGAAAGATGAAGGCCGGGAGACAGCAAGTCAGGTCCTTCCATGTTCTTCTGCCTGCCTTATTCTAGCCATGCTGGCAGCTGATTAGATGGTGCCCACGCTGAGGGTGGGTCTGCCTCTCCCAGTCCACTGGCTCAAATGTTAACCTCCTTTGGCGACACCCTCACAGACACACCCAGGAACAATACTTTGCATCCTTCGATCCAATCAAGTTGATACTCAGCATTAACCATCACGTGCAGGCTGGCATCTCTGGGATGTGACAGGCCAGTGCTTGTGAGGGTGGACAGGCACGGGACAGGCAGCCTGGGACTCAGGGGACCTGCCTTCCTGCCCCTGCTCTGAGGGGCTGTGCTGCCTCAGCAGGTCCCCGGCCTCCTCTGGCCCCCACCTCCTTTCTGGGAAGCAGCAGGTTTCACATGCGGATCGTGAGGTTCCCTCGCAGCTCTGACGCACTCTGACGCAGTAAGGGGGGAAGCGCAGGGACGTGACAGGGCTCCAGGCTCTCTGCAGTCCCCAGTCGAAAATCAGCATCACTTTTTGAAAAATGTAAGTAGAAGACTTCATAAGGAGTTAATCGCATTTATTGCTGCAGCTTATCTCCGGGCAAAAACTCACAAATATGACATTAAAATCTATAAGCAGCATGATGGTTTTATTAATTTAATATTTTCATGATTGCCACAAAATCAAAGTGGCACTGTACAACCATAAAGACGGCCAAGCCGGCCGGGCGCAGTGGCTGACGCCTGTAATCCCAGCACTCTGGGAGGCCGTGGCGGGCCGATCCCGAGGTTAGGAGACCGAGACCATCCTGGCCAACATGATGAAACCCCGTCTCTACTAAAAATGCAAAAATTAGCCGGGCGTGGTGGCGGTACCTGTAGTCCCAGCTCCTCTGGAGGCTGAGGCAGGAGAATCGTTTGAACCAGGGAGTCGGAGGTTGCAGTGAGCCGAGATCGCGCCACAGCACTCCAGCGTGGGCGACAGAGCGAGATTCTGTCTCAAAAAAAAAAAAAAAAAAAAAAAAGGCCACCCTGAGTGCCCCCAGCACTGCGCTGTCCCTGGCCAGCGGTGCTCCCTGTGAAGGGAGCGCGTGGCAGTCGCATGCCCCTCCCCCAGGCTCCCTGTGCCCCTCCCAGGCAGTTGGCCTGCTGGGGCGGGGCAGCCCCCAACCACGAGGCTCCGTGGAGCTGCCAATCACAGCAGCCTTTTGGCCCAACAGCAGCTGATTGGTCCAGGGTGTGAGCGCATGACCCAGTGTGGACCAAGCAGGGACCTTCCCTGGGAGTCTTTTGAACTGGATCTGAGAAGACGTTTCATCTTTTCCCAGTGGAGGGGCCCAGCTAAAGGAAATAGAATGAAGACAGTGTGCACAAGTGGGCAGAGGGGCTGAGGGGAAGAGTGAGCTGTCTGGGCCTGCGTCTTGGCTCTGTCCCTGGGCGCAGCTTTCACCCTCTCCCTGGAATGAGGGTGATGGGGCTGGAGCCTGGGCTGGGCTAGAGCGAAGGCAGGACGCATCCCCACCATCACCGTCTCTGTGAATGCAGCCACCTGTCCTCAAGGGGGGTGGGGTCACTCTCCGTGGGGCTTCCCCAGCACTCCCACATCCACTGGCCCTAAGGACCTGGGGCCCCTTCTGTTTGTCTGTTGCAGGCTTTCGAAGCCAATGACTCTGCAGGGCACCAGCCGTGGGACCCTGGGCAAGTCACTTCACCTCCCACAGCCCCCACTTTATCACTGTGAAAGGAAGAGACGGGTGGAGGGATCTGGTAGGAGGAGCTCCCAGCAGACACAGGACCATAGCACAAGCCCTCTCTCTCATTTCTGCAATGAGACCACAAGGTCCTCACTGGGAAAGAGGCAGGGAAGCTGTGGACAGAATGTGGAAAGGGGCATCTCCATGTCACACCTGGTGACTGGGAAGCCAAGGATCATGTCTCCGCCATCAGCAAAGGAGCCTAGCGCCGCGCCTCTGTCCCTGAGGTCCACACCATTAGTCCGGGCACACAAGGCCTTTCCTGCATGCTCAGACCCACCACATCTGCCTCCCCTTGGGGCCACCGGTGAAGGGAGCTGAGGTCTTCCGTACATGTCTAAGGGCTTAGTCTCTGAACATGATCAAGACTCAGTTCATGGCTGGGATCAGGGCTCAGATTATGACCAGGAAATGGGCTGGGTTTGCAACCAGTGTCAAGACTCAGTTAGTGCCCAGAATCAGGGTTCAGCCTATGCCTGAAGTCATGACTCAGTCTACGACCAGGGTCAGTGTTTAGTATGTGAATGAGATCAGGGCTCGGTGTGTGGCCAGGGTCAGGGCTCAAAGCTCCAAGTATGACCGGGGATAGGAGCTCAGTACATGACCAGGATTAGGCTCAATGTTCAACCAGGGTCAGGGCTCAGGCTGGGAGTGCAAAATAAGGGTTAGCAAGGTAGGAGCCATCCTGTACCCCCGCCAAGCTCCAGTACTGCGTGTGCCATCAGAGCAATGTCTGCAGAGGACAGATCCGGAGAAACTGCCTGTCGTTTCTGACAGCAAGACACACTTGTTTTGCCTGATTTTTTTCCCCTCCCCTACCCTCAGCCCAGCCAGGCAGCAGGGGAAGGTGTAATTAAAAATCAGGTTTGTTAACACGAACACGACGTACATAATATTTAAAACATCCAAGCGCCTTTAACTCAATACCAACGTGCATTTGCTCATTAAGCAGGAATTTTTTTTTATGGCAGCAACACTGCAAATAGCTCTTATTGAAATGCTCAAAACACCATCTGGTCCTTAGCTGAGCCTCCGAAGCATCGCGAAGGTGGCCTAACACGCCTGGAGACCTGGAGATTCCCAGCAGGACGGCAAGACTGACTTTCCCACCAGCTCCCCAAGCACCCTGGGGTCCCAGGTACACCTCAACTCAGCTCGCCTCACCTCAGTTCATGGCACCTCCATTTTGCAGATGAGGGTATGGAGGCTTGGAGGGAAGGAGCCACCTGCCTGGAATCACACGGCTAATAAGAGAAGAAGCCTGGGTGTGAACCTGAGTTTTTCTGACTCTGGGCCCAGGCTGTCTCCAGGGAGTGCCTAGAGGCAGGGAGGAGGACGCAGCAGGGCAGCCTCAGCATTTGGTGGACGGGAGCCAGGGTCAGGAAGGCGGTCATTGTCTTGCTGCAGGGTGTTCACCAAGAGACACCATCCCCAGGGCTAGGTGGGGTGGGGCAAGAGCCCACCCTTCAGGAGGCTTACAAGAGAGACAGGGAAAATGTTTTCAAACTGTTCCAGGAACACTTCAACAGTTCACCTGGGGCGCTCCAGCTGAGGCTGGGGAGGGGTCCTGAGTCCCCCCGGGCTGGGCGGGTGGCCTGCTGGGGTTCGGGGGCTTTTTGCCAAACCTGCTGGTTCTTGGGCTCCAGGCCTGCCAGGGCAGGGCCCTGCTGCCAGCTGAGCTGAGGGAGTTCCCACGCCCATGCAGCTCTGAGCCAGAGGAGAGGCAGAGTCAGCCCCACACAGGCCCGGGTTGGAAGCTTCCCTCAGTCTCCTCACCTTCCATGCCTCTTCCTCTGTGTTTCTCCCTGCTCTCCCCTGCTCCCTCCTCCCTCCTCTGCCCACTCCACACCATGGCAGACATCACCAATCCATCAGAGTGCATGCCTGACTGAGCCAAGAACTCACTTCAGGGTCTTTCTCAACACATCACCGGAGGAGGCCCACACCCAAGAACCAGCAGCAGCACACAGCATGAAACCTGCCTGTCATCCCCCAGTGACATGGGGCTGGAGAGGTCAGGATCCAGTTCATCCTGAGTTCTAGTTGACATCTCATGTCACCTTGGTGACCACAGAGCATTCTGCGTCTGGCCCTGTGCATCCAGGCCCATGAGACTCAACCCTGCTGGGAATAGATGAACAGAGTGGCAGTCACACAGAGTGATGGCAGGTGCTGAGACGAGCCCGGGGGATCCCCAGCCTGGAGTGTGGGGAGGATCTGGGGAGGCTTCCAGGAGGAGGTGTGCCAGCGTGAGGATGTGTGGTCAGGGACCATCTGAGCCACAGAGAGGGAGAGAGAAGGAAGAGTGGGGAGGTAAGCAGGCTCCTGGCGGGGGTGGGTAGGGGTGGGAGAACCGGAAGACTCCCCACTGTCTGGCTGCACAGATGGCAGGGCCATCTTGGGAGAGGCCCAGCGGGGGAAGCCAGTTCAGGGAGGATTGCAAGTCTCATTTTGCCTTTGGGCCATTTGTGGAGCTCAGAGGTGCATGGCCAGGAAACCACTGAAGTAGGAGCCAGAGGCTCTTGAAGGGGAGAAGGACCACAGCATTGGTCGTGAAGGGTGTGGTAGGAGTGGGCACTGGAAGCAGGGCTGGTGAGAATCGCAGTGAGACCAACCAGGAAGCAAGGCAACAAAGACAGGAGGGGCCTCAGAACACGGTGTCCTGCCTGCTGCTCCAATCCACCACGCAGCCACCGCTGTCCTTCCCAGGGGGTCCTTATGGACATAGATGAGACTTACAGTCAGAAACCCAAGCCATGTCCGAGCCGGCAGGTCCTCTGAACCCTCTCAGCCTCAGTTTCCCCCTCAGTAGAATATGCATAAAATGACAGAGCTCAAAGAGTTCCTGACACAGAGAGGGGGCAAGGCAGGCATGGGGCTTCCAGAATTACAAGAGCTTTCTATTACCCATGTACAGAAACCACAGCGAGCGCAGGCACCCAGAGACACACACACACGAGGCACTCACACACAGGTGTGCATGTGTACTGCCATCGACACATCTACACACACTAGCAAACGATGTGCACACCTGCATGCATGCACAGGTGCACACATCTACACATGTGCGAAGCATGCATGCACGTGCACCGGATACCAGCAAACATGTGCACAAGCACAGAGGGCCCAGAGCTCCGCACAGCCATTGTTCCCATGCCTCGTGTGTGGCCGCAGTCAGTATCAACAGACACAGACAGACGTGGTGTTTGATTATAAGAAAATAACAACCAGATATTCCAGGTAATAAACTGATTTATGACCTATTGCAATAAAAATGAAAATATAGAAGCAGTGTTAAACATGAACAACATGCAGAAACTCCTCTCTACCTTCCCCTCAATCTGTCCTTGGGTCCTGTGAGGGGAGCCCGGCCCAGAGCCCAAGGGATAATGTCCGTGGATAATGCCCACAGATAAAGCCTGTGGATAAAACTCAACCCCGTACCTCCTCCTACCCAGACTGCTCTCCCCACTGACCTCCTGAAAACCCTGGAGGCCGCCCACCCTGGAGATGCTGAGGACGGACAGGATCTGGCATGTGAGCTCAGCTCTGGGCCTGGGGACTTGGCACACATGGGGTGTCTTTCCCTCAGCCCCTTCCGGGCGGTAAGTGGCAGTTTTTAGAAAGTGTCAACTTATTCCCAGCTGTTGTTGCCAAAAAAAGGAAAAAAGAAAAAAACCCTCATGGTTTCAAGGAAACTCACAACAACTTCAGAGAAGCGCGTGAACATGACGGATGGACTCATCTCACAGAATACGCAGCAAAGGCCGGGGCCTCAAGTTTGTCACATGCATTTTGGAGCTGCTGGAAGTGGGCCGGGGCCGGCCAGGGACCTCTTCCGGGTCTGGCATTGTTCCTCCCCAGGCGACGCCGGGCTTCCAAAAAGGATCTGTCTTTTATGTCTCTTTATTCCCAGGAATAATGGCTCTTGACATAAACGACTCCCGCTAGCAATTATCTGTGATTAATGTTGAAGCTGGCTGCAGAAGTGGAGGAAGTTCTGTGGAGGGGGGTGGGCAACAATTGCATATTCATGGATTTGGAACCAACATGTTGAATGAGGGAGTGGGGAGCTCCCTGGGATGTTTTCCAAAGCCCTTGGCCTGGGACTGGGCACAGGGCATGAGGTAGCCAATGATCAAGGGCAGGGCTGGGTTCAGAGTGCTGAGGCCCACCCCAGGGTGGCCCCACAGTCATGGACACAGGCACCTTGGGCATCAGACCCAAGCCCTGATGACGGGGGGAGACCCGGTCAGCCCTGTGGTCTAAGCTGGGCTGGGCACACACACAGTACGCGTCTTCTTCCGTAATCCCCAGTGATCTTCTGACAGTGGTGCCCATCACCCCACTCCACAGATGAGACCAGAGCTCAGAGAAGTTGGGGGATCCAGCCAGGCCACAGGGCAGTCATTAGCAGCATGGACATTGGGACTAGAAACCTGCAGTGTCACTCTCCGCCTGCCATTGCTGTGTGCCTCAGTTTCCCCAACTGCGAAATGGGGGGATGACGGGATCCACCAGGTCTGGGGCTGGGGTGTTCTCATGCCTGCCCCTGACCTGCCATCACTCTGGAGCCAGCTGATCCACCCACCTCTCATGGGGCCCACATGAGGCCCAGAGGGTGCCTGAATGTCAGAATAGCCTGTAAGCCTCCATATGCCACATTCTCGGTGGCACAGGGCAGGGCCTGCTGGAAGCCTCCCCGCCCGGGCCTCCATCTGTCCCTGACATCCCTCCTGGGCTCAGAGAGAAGACAGGGTACCCCCGCTTCTGGATTGCATTTCAGGGCTAGGTAGCGTCCAGTAATGAAAGGGCTAGAGGGCACTCATCACTTCCCAGGAACAGCCCAGCCTTCGGGCCTGAAATGGGCCTCAGCAACTCCAGCCCCACCCCAGGGATGGGAACCCACCCAGGACCAAGAGTCAGCTGCCCCATTTTGCAAATGAGAAGCCTGAGGGCCTGCCATGATCAGGGGCTCCAAGCGCACCTCTCCAGGGGCGCTTCAAGTGCCATCAGCAGGCAGGTCCTCGCTCCTCCCCCGGCCTGTTTGCCCGCAGCGTTCGTGTACTGAGCCCACCGCCTGCCCCTGGGCACCTCGGACTCCCCAGACAGCCCCAGCAGCCCCATCTCAGTGCACAGAAACCTCACCCTTCCCGCCGCCCCGGCCCCAGCCTTGCCGTCCTGACCCTCTCTCTCTCCGAGTTTGTGTCTACCCTTCAGGAATCCCTACTGGCTCCCCCTTCCAGAGGACCCCCGAATCCACCCACTTCTCTACCGCCGCTGACACCGCCAGACCCACCCAGCAAGTGAGCTGGCAGGGCTCCTCACGACAGCCCTGAACGCCTCCTGCCTCTGCCCCCAAACCTATTTCCAGCCCATGGCGGTGAAACGATCCTTCCAGATCAGCATCTCAAACTTGCTTTCTTTATCACTGCCCCCTAACCTAAGGAACGTTTATAGGCTGTTTTTTTTTTTAATTTGCCCGCCCACCATGGAATTTTAGAACCACAGACAAATATGCGTCTGTTTATGTGCCGTGTAAGTATCTGGGCTTTCTACATAAACAGTGAGATTTCTTCATGCCCCAAGAACCAAACACTTCCCTTGGGGCTGAGACCACCCCCTTGGGAATGCTTGTTCTAATGCATGAATGAGATCATGGCATTTCTTGGCTCCAGACCCACCCAGAGGACAAGTCCGAGTTCCTTCCGTCAGGCCTGGGTCCCGGGAGCCGCCGCATCCTCCTATTCTGCCCTCGTGGGCTGGAGGCTCGGGCCTCCCTCTGGCCTCCAGATTCCTGCGCTGGTGTTCCCTCTGCCCGGGCTCCCCACCCGCAACTGTCTACCTCCACAGAGCCCTCCTTTCCCTGGGGCCTCTGCTCAGTGTGCCTTCTCAGGGAGGCCTCCCTGCCATCCAGCGGGAAAGGATGCCCCTCTCCTCCGCCCTCAGGCTTGCTTGATGCCCTCGAAGGCACTTTTCTCACTGAGATGGCACACACTCCCCCATACCCTGTGCTCCATCTTCGTTCGGGAAGGCAGGGGCTCCCACTGGGTCCCAGGCCAGAGACCCGTGTCTGAAATGCAATAGGTGACCACCTGCTGAGGGAGGAAGCTTCCTCCTGCAGGCAGAAGGACAGGAGGAAAGTGAGTCACCTTGACTCATCCTCCCTGCGCCCCCTGAAGCACGGTCACACCCCTGCCCCATCCCATTCGGGCCCCACAGCCTCCCATTTCACAGATGAGGAAACTGAGGCACAGAGGAAGAAAGCCACTCAGCCGAAGCCACACATCCACACCTGCAGACCCCAAAGGACACCTGGGCCTGCAACAGAGCTGATGACGGCACAGGAGGCAACCTGAGTGGTCACAGACGGCCCGTGCTCAGAAGGCCCCAGCTGGCTCTAGCGTGCTGCCCCTGCTGTGCCAAATCTTACTAATTTTCCCACGGTGGGCTTGCATTTCACTTCACACTGGGCCTGCACATTACACAGCCGGGCCTGCCTGCTGGATCCTGTGCTGGTCAGGAGAGGCTAGATGACACTGTAAGAAAGCCTTCCCAAACTCTCAGGGGCTGGCATCACGACGGCTCGCCTCTCACTCACACCGCAGGTCCCCCGCCTTGGGCCAGCCCAGGACTCGGGTGGTGAAGGAGCCACTGTCTTGAGCACACCCTGTGGTGGCAGACAGAAAGAGAGCTCAGAGGCTCTCACACTGGCCATAAATGCTTTGACCCAGAAGTGACAGACGTCATTGTGCCCACAACTCGTCGGCCAGCACTGGTCACCTGCTGACCTCACCCACTGCAGGAGCCAGGAGGAGCAGCGCCCCCTGCGAAGTGCCAGAGGCCAGCAGAGAAAGCGCATGATGGACTCCACGGGCCATCACACCGAGCCCGCGGCCCCGACCTTGGCGACGAGGTCTTCATCTAGGCAGCTGCCGCCCGGGTCCCAGCCCTCGTTGTCATTCCAGCCCCACACGCCTTTGCCTAGGCCAAACATCTAAAGGGGAGGGACATAGAGTAGGTCCTCACAGCAACTCAATCAATTCTCCATCGGAAATTCTCACACAATCAATTTAAGTAGCTGGTCGACATCATAACACAGTAATTAGGAACAACTTTCAACTCTGGGCTTCCTTTGAAGATAGTAATTGCAATTAATTAAACATCCTCGCTGCTCCTCAGAGTCCGTTCCCAGGAAACTGGAGCAGGGGCAAGGAGAGGGGCGTACCTGACCCCATCCCCAGCGGCCCCAGAATCAAAGGAGGAACCCGTCTCCTTTGAATATCGAAGGGTATGAAGTCTCCGGGGACAGCTGGGGAGGTGGAAAGAACCTGGCCTCCCGATTCCAGCCAACACCCCGGATTCCTGCCCTCCCTCTGGGGCTCCGCCTGCACCCAGAATGAGCAGGGCCCCAGGAGGCCCCAGCCCCTCTGCTCAGCAAGCTTATCTCCCAGATCACATTGGCCTATTCAGAAAATACTGAGCACCTCCTGCGTGCCTATCCTGGTTCTCGGAGCAGCGCCTTACGGGGAATGGAACAGGTCAAACAGCATGCCCTTGCTGTGCCCTTGGCAACTCCAGCTCCCTATCGAGGCTGGTGTGTTCTGGGCTGAGCCGAAGAGATGGCTCCAGGGAGGATAAGAGGCACCCTGCAAGGCAACTGTGTTCTCTGGACAGAGGAGGGGTGGCCAGACAAGGGAACAAGTAATAGCCACATTTACAGAACACTGCATGGGCAGGTCCCCGGCTGGTTGCACCAGCTCATCGAGGCTGTACACCAGACATGCTTCTGACTCCCGTTTTACAGGTGAGGACATGGTACCCTAGAGAGGTCAAGAGGCTTGTCCAAGGCCACACAGCTGCAAAGAGGGGGAACATGTCTGCTTCTGATTCCAGAACCCTCTGAGCACAAGGGCCAGCTGGTGCTGGGGAAAAGCTGATGGCCCCCCTTAGCCCTGGGGAAGGTGTCTGTGCCAGCCTGCATATAGGGCAGGGAGTGCGGCCCATCATGGAGAAACAGCTGCCCTCTCTCTGTTGGGCTCTCACCGTGCCAGGCTGGGATCGGGGGCATGACCAACAGTCTCTCTCATGATCCCCTCAGCAGCTCCCCAGAGGTCCTGTTGCTGTGTTCCCCCTCACAGCTGAGGACTAAGGCACGAAAATCAGCAGTGGCGGCTGAGGGCTGCCCGGTCAGTGGGTGGAGGACCCAGCACGCAAGCCAAGTTCTGTCACCTCCCAGAGCCCGTGCTGTAGCCCCTGCCCACCCCAGTGGCACCAGGGCCCAACGACACAGTGGCTGGCTCCCAAGGAAATAGCCACGGTATTTCCACATAGGCCACCGGGTTTTGTTCAGAAAAGATGGCAGAGTCTCCTGGCAGGTCAGTGGGAAGAAGCTCGGGGGTGAATTGCTGCCAACCAGAGCTGGAATCCGTGACTTTACAAAAAAGGTATTTCCCCCCACTTTCCAAAAATAATTGAAGCATCATTCTTACAATTATAATCCAGGCATTGTAAAAAAAAAAAAAAAAAAAAAAAAAAAAAAAAAAGCCAGGCAGCTGGAGGGGACCACAAATCCAGAGCAGACGGGCAAGCTGCCCCAAAATGGCAAGCCTGGGAAGGTCAGAACAATGGGGCACAAATGTGCTTTGAGCATCCCAGCAGCCATAGCAAAAAGGGCAATATGAGGGCTACCTGGCTCTCTCTGTGTGATGGAGGGAAGCAGGGAAACTGAGTCCTAGGAGGAATTGCCCAGGCTGTTGTTCAAGGGGCAATGCGGGCAGTCTGTTGTCTTGACACCCTCCCAGCCCTCCATCTGCCAGCTCCTGGAGGCAGGAAGCATCTTCCCTCCGTGAATGCCCAGCCTCAGCATCAGGCACAGCACAGAACAGATGCTGAGAAAACAGATTATCGACTCTGCTTTACACAAAAGACAGAGACTCCAGCCTGGGGTCGTTTCTGACCATGCTTTTCTGTGGGAGCAGCCGGTCTAACTGGAAGGAAGTCATGAGATTTAGCAGAAGTCAGCCCTGGAGCAAATCCCAGGGTTCATACCACTTGGCGGTGCTGGACATGGAGGTCAGCTCCCCCACTGTGGGCCACACAGTGTTCTGGACCTTATTGTCACAATCCAGCCAATGTCACCCTACCCCCTTGCCACAGATTCAGGCAATACAGGCCTAAGCCAATCAATGCATGCTACTCCCTCGGCCGCAGGGATAGTTCAGGATTGGGCACATGACCCAACCAGACCCATGGGTCATGTGAGGAGACTCCCAGGGCTTTGCAGGACATACAGCTGCTCATCTGAGACAGCTCATGGAAGCCAGTGGCCTCTGGCCTTCTCAGTGGCCAGGCAGACTGTGTAGTCAGGAGCTGCATCTACCATGTTACCACTACTGAGGAAACTAGTCTGAGGGTAGAACTGGCATCACAGAAGATTGGGCCTCCATAACAACACTGAGCCCCTGGATCAAACCTTCCCTGAAGCTCATCTTATTTCTGAATGTTCCAATTACATGAACCATTTAGTCCCTTTTGTGGTTTAAGCCAGTCAGAGCTTCAAATAACATACTGCTCCATTTGCTCCAGCTTGAAAGAGCCCTGGTTCCCATTCTTTGACCCTTGAAGCTCTGTTTCATTCCCCAGCCTTTGCCCACACGGCCCCCTTGGCCTGAAGTGTCCTCCCCAATGTCCATATAACTGGCTGCTCCTCATCCTTCCATCCTCAGCTTCAACGCCGCCTTCTCCAGGGTGACTCGCCTCTCTGACCACCCTATTTGAAGTACAGTCAGTCTCTTCATGTCCTTCACAGTACTCACTGCATTTCTTCACCGTGTTTGTTTCCTATTTGATTACTTGCCTTGGGTCTGGGTTCCCTAGACCAAGCTTCCCATGCTAGCAGTGGTGAAGGACCAAGGTTTTTGTTTCCAATCTGACACAGCCCCACACTGCTGTAAACTACTTTAAAAATAAATTTCTAGAAAAATGTAGTTTTAAAAAGCACAAAGTATAAACCCCACATTTATCTTGTTACACTCTCCAGTCATAAAATTACTCATCGAATTGTTATAAACATTTCTCAGTGGTCACTGTTAGTTGCTGTTTTCAGGGGAGCTGGATGCATACCCCACAGGTAAGCCAAACTGCCAGTGATGACAAGGAGGTAGTAGTGCTTGGTGCCACTCTCCCTGGGTGGGACAGCTCCGGGGCACGCACCACACTGTCTCCCAGGGGTCCCCCATAGGACTGACCTCCAGTGCCC
The DNA here is from genome assembly GCF_000001405.40 of Homo sapiens. Taxonomy (NCBI): domain Eukaryota; kingdom Metazoa; phylum Chordata; class Mammalia; order Primates; family Hominidae; genus Homo; species Homo sapiens. Next base: position 186,715 of record NW_025791786.1, on the reverse strand, counting down.
ACAGGGGTAACTTGCTCCCATTGCACCCTTCCTGGCTTCTTTCCCTGCCTGTCCTGCGTCCTCACTCCCTGCCTGTGTTTCCAAGGACCACGTCTCAAACAAACCACTCGCACCAAAATCCATGTTCAGGGACTGCTTCTGGGGACCCCAATTCATACGCAATATAGGATATATAGTACCTAATGTCATTACTGCTGCTGCCCCGTCAGGATTCAAACGCATGGTTATTATTGCAATGTAACTGTGCATCTGTAGAACTGAAGAAACAAGGCCCCAGGTGGGAGAAGCCTGGAGCAGGGGCTGGCGTCTCAGCTGGGGCCGGTGGCAGCAGAGGAGGGGGAGGCTGGAGATGCCTCTTCCCAGCCCAGGGTTTCCTCCTTCTCCAGAGATGACTGTTCCCATCCACAACTGCTTCTTCAGCAAAACCAGGGCTTGGAAAAACCTTTTCTCCCCATGACTGGCATGTGATAAATAACTCCTGGATTCGGGAAAAAAAGAAAAGAAAAAAAAAAAAACACCCGGATTCCACCTGCACTTGATGTGGTCTCCCCTGCACGCCTGGGTTGCAAGCTCCCAGCGTGAGACCATGGCACCTCTCCTGAAGGCCACTTGGCCTCCCTGCTTGGTGTTCTGTGGGGAGGAGGAGGAGGAGATATCGGGGTCATGCCGTCGTCCCGCCCTGCCACCAGCGGGCCCACAGCAGAGCCAGGCCTCTGGCAGGGGTTTGTCACCTGCAGAGGGAGGTGGTCCAGGGCAGAGGCCAGGTCATTGCTGGCCATGCTGGGCTCAACAGACTCTCTCAGCCCCACACGGGGGAAGCAGGAGGCAGCCCCTCCCCAAGGACCAGGAAGGGGGAGGCAGCAAGTGAGGGGCAGGTGCCTTGTGGTGCCCCCTCCTTCGCGTCTCTCTGCCCCACGCATGCTCTCCACTCCTTTCCTTTCTCTTCCTCTGTTCTGCTGCGTCGCCCCTTCTCCCGGCCCCCTCCCCATCCTGCTGCCCCCTCTATCATGGGAAACGGGAAAGCTGCCAGACTTGGTGTCTGCATGTGGCAAACTAAATCCCAGCTGTTCCCTGGAGGCATGGGGCCTTGGTATGCTGGTCTGTGGGATGGGGACGCTAGTCCCCACCGCAGAGCTGTGGGGAGGGTCCCAGGGCGTGGGCACTGAGGGTGGAGGCCCGGCCCCCCCACCCACCGTACCCGGGTCCTCCTCCCTCTGAAGAGGGCCTGCCTCCGTCACCGTTTCTACTGCGAATATGTTCACTGCACCTTCGGACCCATGCGGCTTCCCAGGCCCACCGCTGCCCGGCCTGGCCCGGTGTCCCAGTTGGGTTCCTGGTCCACCGTCCCACCGTCCCACCGCCCCCCTTCCCCGCCGGGCCCAGCCGCCCAGGCCTGTCGGAGTGTGTGCAGAAAAGCGCCGGGCGCGGGAGAGCTGGGGAAACTCTTTATTTATTCTGTTCGCTCTCGGGGCAGCGGCGGGGCCTGGGCCAGCCTGGGGGTGCCGTCGCTGGAAGCGCTGGCCTCGGGCTCCGGGAAGGCGGCGGCGGGGCCGGGCAGCAGCAGGACGAGGCCGGGCCCGGGCCCCGCGCGCGGGCGCAGCTCAGGGCCAGCCGCTCCAGGCGCCGCTTGCGCATCGCTGCCTGGGCCGTGGCGTGCAGGGGCCGCAGCAGCGCTGGGGGCGAAGCTCCGGGGCCGCGCAGCAGGAAGTCGAAGTCTGCGCGGTCGCGGGGGTCGTAGAAGAGCGGCCCGCAGGCGGGGTCGGACCCCGGCGGCCAGGCGAACGGGAAGGGCAGCGTGAAGTTCTCGGTGAGCACGCGGATGGCGAAGTCGTCCTGCTTGCCCAGCGCGCGGTAGGCGCGCCCGATGCCGCGGAAATGCGCCTCCCAGAGCTGCGCGTCCCCGCCGTAGATGTCCGGGAAGGCGGGCTCCGGGGGCGCCGCGGGACCTGCGGGCGGAGGGGACAGTGAACGCCCGGCAGGGCGGGGAGGGCCGGGAGCGGCCCGCGCAGGCGGGAGACCAGGAGGCCGGGCGCGAAGAGAGGTGGCCAGTCTGGAAGGAGCCGCCGAATGAGCTCGAAAGGCAGAGCTGGGGATGGCCAGGGCCACCTGGTGATGAGGCGAGGCCGGGCCCTGCATTTCTGAGGGAACAGCAACAGCAAACCAGGAAGAGAGGGAGGTCCTGGGTGTACGGAAGGGGATGCTCACTAAGTACTCTTTGGGCAGAGCCTTCCCGATGGCGAGGAGGCTGCAGACTTTGGCCAGCGTGACCACGTGGGGACTGAGCGAGCTTAGGATGTTGAGGTTCTCCCTGAAGACAGTGGCCAGCTTGGGGCAGGAGGTGAAGCAGTCACTCTCAGTTGAAAGTTGATCCGGCCGCTGTGCAGAGAATGGACTTTGGGGGCCCAGCTTCAAGGTCAGATCCAGGGGAGGACAAGATGAACATGAGGATGGGAAAACGCCACCTGGGGAGAGGCTGCAGGGCCAGATCGCCAGGCCTTGTAGACAGAGACAGGGAGGAGCCTGTGGGAACAGCCTGGCTCGCAGCCTGGACACAGCTGACCCTGGAATCCAGAGGGAGGTGCGGCCCCAGGAGGGAGCGGAGGTGGAAGAGGAGTTTGGTTTTGGTTCAGTCATGCCACCCTTCAGCCTATCCGTGGTCCCCAGAAGGCACCCACGTTGCTGGCCCATGGTCCACACCCTGCCCAAATCTAGGTCCTCCATTCAGGAGAGACCCCTACATTCCTTCTTTCTTTCTTTCATTCAGCAAATGTGCTTAGCTGTAGGGATACTGAAGTGAGCAAAGCAGCCATGGGACCTCACTTGGGCACACAGTCCAGGAAAGAATGTAGTCAGGTGGACACAGGAGCCAGACCAGGCAGCTGTCTGGGGATGGCCACACTGGGAGGCTAGGAAGTGGGAATGGATGAATATGACCATGAATTGTCAGATCCTTCTCCCAACACCCTTGGGAGGGGTAACAATATTCAGTCTGTTTTACTGGTGAGGATACAGACCCAGAGAAGTCATACACAGATGCCAAGCTGAAGCCCTGGGCTGGGCAATCACTTTCCACTATGCCACGCCCCCGGCTCAAGGGCCTTTTGATTAACAGTCTCTTCCCTCTGCACAAATATTCACTGAGCACCTACTGTGTGGCAGGCAGGCTCTGTTTGAGCCATTGACTACAGCCATGAGGAGCACAGACGTGGGGGTCCTTCCACCTGTCAGGGCCTGGGCTAGTCTTTCACCTTCCATGAGCCTCTGAAAATGGAGCCAACCAACCCTGTTCTGCTGCAGTTGCAGATGAGATGACATTGACCAGCCTGTTTGATCAATGGGAAGTACTTTCCTAAATCAGCACCGTGGACAGCGCCATGCTGGGGATAAGAGTGGAGCCCAGAGGCTGGAGAAGATCCGCTCACACAAGAGCCTGGACTGCTCTGCTTGTAGAGGGGTCGAGGCTGGAGATAGACACTGGGGAGATGATGTTTAAGCCACAAAACTAGATGAATCACTGAGGGAGTTGGGTTAGAAAGGGCAGAAGCGCAAGCAGAGAGCTTCGGGTCCTCCCTCCTGACCAGGTCAAGGAGATGAGGAGCCAGTGAGGGCACCAAGAGGGAGCGGGCAGTGATGGGAGCGTGGGAAGTGTGGCAGCAGGGACCTGAGCCGTGTGCTGCCGGCGCATCACATCAAATGAGTCCAAGTGACCTCGGACTTACCAGCGCAGAGGTCATTGATGACTTTTGCTAGAGCTGCTTTAGTGAAGCACTGGAAATTAAAACCCGGTGAGAGTGGGTTCAAGAGCAAAGGAGAGGGGAGAACGTGGAGGCAGCAAAGACAAATGACCTTCCTGAGGTTCGGCTCTGAATGTGGAGCAGAGAAGTAGGGCAGGAGACGGAAGGGAAGTGGGGTCAAGAGACAGGATAAATCGCAGCATGCTTTCATGCCAGTGGGAACGACCTGGGAAAGAGCGGTATCATGATGCAGGAGAAAGAGGGTGAAGAGTTGCTGGAGTGACAGCGTGAGTTGGGGGATGGAATGGGAGAAGCTGAATGCTGCCTTTGGCTGGGAGGAGGGATGGGGCATTCACAGGAGCAGGCCGGGGTGGACAGCGCCCAATGCCACAAGTACAGTGGGTGGGCACCAGCAAAGTCCTCTTCCAATGCCTTCAGCTTCTCAGGGAAGGAGGGTGCAAGGCCAGCAGCACAGTGTGAGGAGAGAGACGATGGGGGCTTAGAGGGAGAGAAGGTGCGAGGTGGTTGCTAGGTGAGGAGAGGCTGGGCAGACCAGGGAGGGCAGCGGAGCCGGCCTCCTTGCTGCTGAAGCCAAGTGCAGGCATTAGCAAGGTGGAGTTCACTCAGCTGCAGCCCACTGCAAGGGCACAGGCAAGGGTAGCAGGGAGTTGGAGCTGCCAGACTAGTACAAGAAAACAGGAGAGGGGCCAGCGAGGGGGCAGAGGCCATGGCAAAGATGTGAGGAGGGGTGGAGGAGGCCAGACAGGTGGAAGACACTGTGGGCTTCCACCTCACTAAAGGAGTGCTGGGGCTGGCCCTCGAGGGCAGGAGCTGGGGCAAGAATCCCCAGAGTGCGGTGGGGACAAGGGGACTGCAGTTTGGGTACAGTTTGTCGGGTGGGTGGCTGGGTGAGAGGACAAAATCCTTACAGGAGTCCGAGGGGCTGAGAGAAATCACCAATAGGATGACAGGAGAGCTAGGGAGAGGGCAGGGCAGGGGCCAGGGTCTTTAGGAGTGAAGGCATTGACCATGAGCAGGGTGCACGGATGGGTGGGCAGATGAGTGGGTGGAGGAGTGGGTGGATGGGTGGATGGATGGATGGATGGATGGATGGATGGATGGATGGATGGATGGATGGATGGATGGATGGATGGATGGATGGATGGATGGATGGATGCATGGATGGTTGGGTGGATGGATGGATGGGTGGGTGGGTGAATGGGTGGGTGGATGGGTGGATAGATGGGTGAGTGAATGGATGGCTGGCTGCCCCTCCCACTGCCTCTGAGATCCAGAGCTGAGTTTTAGAAGAGGCAAGGGCAGGAGAATGATCCGGAAGGGGCCCTAAAGAGTGAGAAGGACCCTGCACACCTCCAGGTCCATAGATCCAAAGGCTTCAGGAAGAGAGCCAACCCCTTCCCTGGGGACTTCAGAGCATCAGAGCATTGGGGAGCGTAGGGAGGAGAAGGACCTTTACAGGGAGGCTTTGATGCCCGCATGCCCCCATCCTGGCCCAGCCCCACTGCCACTCTCCTTCATGACCTTGGCAGAGCATCTTCTTCTGGAAGATGGGTCAGAGGGCCGCTTCCTGCTCCCACATTCTCAGAGCCCCAGGTGCCCCGTCCCCCTTCCCGTCCATTCCCCTCCCTCACCAAGTGTCTCGCCTGGAGTGGCTACAGAAGGAGGGGGCAGACCTGCTGGGCTGGGGGTCCCAGGACAAGAGGAGGCCATGCCAGCAGCCCGGGAGACAGGCTTCTGTTTACTAGGCTGCCCAGGAGACGGGGAGGGGCCTCCCAGGGGAGGACAGAACCTTGCGTTTAAAGGGCCTCCACTCAGGAGTGGGCTGGGGCTGTGGGGGAGGCTGAGTGGGGACCTGTGGGCTCAGTGGCCTCTTGCGCACTAAACTCTCTGTGGGCATCACTGCAGCCCCTCACCCAGCACCCTGCCCCTCGCCTGGACCCTGCAGGGCCACCCTCTGGGCCAGCCTCCCATCCTTAACCCTTCCCATTGCACCCAGCAACCCTCCGAGATCAATCCCCAGTCACATCTGCTCACCTGCCCTGCTCAGAGACCATGAGAACCTGGCACCCAGAGACCGCCAGCCTGTCCCCACCAGCACTCTTCCTCCTGACTCACCTCGGGTCAGCCTGGTGTCCACAGCCGCAGCCTGTGAGTGCTCTCAGGGCAGCCGAGGCCTTGATCCAGCCTCAGCTGGCCTGTCCCTCCAGACCACGGGGCTCCCACAGGCATTCCCGAAGTCTTCAGAGCCCAGGTCAGCAGTCCCCATCTTCAGCAACTCCAGTAGTCCCTATGAAGCAGGTCAGACCTTGCCTCAGCCACAAAGAGCTCATGGGGATATCAGTTCCCCCAAAGTGGGATCAAGTGCTGGTAGGGGTGGGGACATGAGACAGAGAAGGGAACAAAGCCTGGGAAGACGCATCCCAGCACAGTTTTACCGGAGATGGCCTCAGAGCTACCCCGCCTGCCCAAACAGCCGTGGGCTGCTGTATCCCCAGCAGGTGTGGCTTGTAAGGAGCCTGGCAGCCAGAGATGGCCTCAGGGAAAGAAAGGTAAGTGCTCCCAGGGGCCTGAGCTGGGGCCTGGCTCTTCACAAGGAGAACCCCAGCCACAGACTGGGATGTGATTGAGCAGTCAATGCCCCTGGTGTTTGAGTGTCACTCATGCCAGGCTCTCTGTTACCACAGCCTCTAATACAGCAGGGCTGTGACGCAGGACAGGACGGGGCTTGACTGGGGAGCAGGGGCCCCTCCCCTCTCCTGGTCTCTGTATTTTTGCACCTCCACATCTCTGTGCAGTTGCCTTGAGAGGGTGCCCTTCCCACTCTCCTCTGCAATGCAAACTCATGCTCCCCCTTCAGGTTCTGGCTCATATCACCTCCTTCAGGAAGCCCACCTGGCCTGCTCTGTACCTGAGAGCCTCCCAGGCCTGGCTGGCACCCCATCAGAAGTCATCTGTTTGGATATGGTCCCTCCATTGCCTTCCATGGGCTCCCATGTGTCCTGGTGATGACCTCAGGCTGCACATGGTCCCATGTCCAGGGCCCTGCCCCTCGGGGCCACACCCTCTGAGCAGCCCAGGCTCCAGCTCCCTCCGCTGAGATTCCTAGGTCAGTGCCAGCCTCAGACTTAGGAAGGTGGGCATGCGGGAGGCAGGGAAGGCCAGGGTTGTCATGGCAAAACCCTGTACCCATTCTGTCTTCCCACCCCCCTGAGAACCCCTCAGGACAGGCCTGGGCCATATCCTCTGGGCCAGACTTAAAGAAAGGCCTGCTCAGCCCCAGCAGGTGAGCTGGAACCCTTCTCCCCAGACAAGCCACACTCCATGCCCTCCCCCACCTCCAGCAAGGCTGGGGTGCAGCCCAGGAGACCCAGCAGAGGCTGAAGCCCAGCCCTCCAGGCACCTGTAGGCAGGAGCACACCCAGCTCTCGGACCTCAGAATCAGCCGTGGTGAGTGTGGTCCTGTATTCACATGGCCAGCATGTGTTTTCCACCTTCCTGTGCTCCGGCCAGGTGGCCCCCCGACACCAATTCTCAAGGCAGGCGCAGGTCAACTTCAGCTCAGCCTGGTGGGCTCCGGCCGAATGATGGTCCTGAATGGCAGCTCAGCTATCAATATCATTGTGTGACTACAAGAGGAAGAAACAGTTCATCCTGACATGCTCATTCTGCAGACCGCCACTGAGCACCTCCTGGGGACCAAGCCTCAGCTGGCTAGTGGCCTCTAAACCAAGCTGTATCAGTCAGGGAGACATCTAAGCTGTTGCAACAAAGCACCCCCAAATACAGTGGCTAAAACAAGACAGAACATTTGTCTCCCTCCTGCAACAGTCCAGCCACTGCAGGCTTCGAGGGCAGCTCTGCTCCATGGGGATACTCAGGAGCCCAGGCTCTTTGGCCTGTGGCTCTGCCCTCACCCAGGGGTGGGTGTCCTCATCTGCGAGGCCGAGGTGCAGCGGCACGTACCACATCCCAGCCCGGGAGGGGCAAAGGCAGTCGTGGGCTGGCAGCTTCCTATGGAGAACACAAGGAGACACTGCCCACTCCACTTCTCAAATTCCAGGGCACTGCCCACTCTACTTCTCAAATTCCAGGGCACTGCCCACTCCACTTCTCAAATTCCAGGGCACTGCCCACTCCACTTCTCAAATTCCAGGGCACTGCCCACTCCACTTCTCAAATTCCAGGGCTGAGGATTTGGTCTTGTGGTCCCCCTTGGCTGCAAGAGAGGCTGGGACATGCCATCCACTCCTGGGTGGCCATGTGCCCAGCATCTGGAGGGACAACTTCATTTGGCAGCAAGAATGAAGCCCACCCAGTGCGTCTCAGTGTGGGCTCCCCTGCAGCTGAGAGTGCGCTTCCTGGAGCTGCTGTAACTAATTAACACCATCCTGGGTTAAAGTTGCATCCCTGGGCCAAAATCAAGCCAACAGGGCTACACTCGCCCCAGAGGTTCTGGCAGGAGCCTTCCTCACCTCTGCCAAAGCTGGTGGCCGCCTCCCTCCAACCTCTGCCTCCGGGGCCACACGGCCTCCTTTCTTTCTGTAGTCAAACCTGCCTCTGCCTCCCTCTTGTAAGGCCAGACATGATTGCACTGGGGGCCACCTGGATAATAATGTCCCTAAAGATTCTTAATTTCATCCAGCTACAAAGCCCTTTTTTGCCATAAAAACTAATAAGTCCAGGTGCCAGGCATGAGAGCATTGACATTTTTGGGGCATTTCTTCTGCCTACCACGCAGACCCCAAGGCAGCAACTCAGGGCAGGCATGTTCTTAGGATGTGATCCCAGGAAACACTGTGGGGTGGGGGAGGAAGAGAGACTCAGAAGGTGGGAAGCCGGATTGGCGTTGTCAAGCACTCAGCATCCTGGAAGCCACCGGGGCTTGATCCCACTGGGTCACCCCATCGGAGGGGTAGGGCTGAGCCGTCTGTCCCCGCCCCCAAATCACGGGTCAAGGGCTGCTCCCAGGAAAGCTGGATTCCCTGGTAGCTTCAGCAGTGGCCAGAGATCCCCCCAGAGAGAAACACAGGTGATGGCAGGTGAAGAATGGGAATGACGAGAGCCTAAGTGCGGGGTGAGGGAGCAAGAGCATCTGTGCCCAGCCCACCCTCCGGTGCCTCTCTACTGTAAGCGGGAGGGCAATAGAGAGAAACCCAGAAGGAAATGCCACTGTGAAAGGGAAATTTGCAGGGAGCTCTGACAATGTCGAGGTCGGGGGGACACTCTGTGTCCATTCTGTGATCTGAGATGGCCTTTCAGGGAATGATGCTGAAGCAGGGGGTAGGCGGGCCTTAGGAGCAGCGTGTGCAAAGGCCCTGTGGCAGGAAAAGCCCCAGCCCCTGAGGACCATGAAACATCAGCCCAGGAGGCCTGTGGCTGGTGAGCAGTGAGCCGAGAGGAGGCCGAGGGCACCGGCAAGACAGAGGAGACGCAGGGGACTTGTAGGAGCCAGCCCCCTTCTCCTGCCTGGGGCCACAGCCTGACATACATTCCTCCACCATCAGCATCACCCCCTCCCCCCAGCAGCCCCCCTGCTACACACTGGCCTTTGCTGCCTCCTCCAGCAGGTCAGGAAGGCCCCACCTTCCTGAGGGACAGAGAAGGGGGCCCGGCAGAAGAAGCCTCTAGGTGGAGGCATGCAGACCCAGGCCCCGGGGGGTGGCTGCCGACGGAGGAGGGAGAGCAGGCACAGAGGAGGGAGAGCAGGCTCGGCTGGCCTCCCCAGAAAGGCCCTGGGGGGTGGCTGCTGATGGAGGAGGGAGAGCAGGCTTGGCTGGCCTCCCCAGAAAGGCCCCTCCCAGCGCTCCCCCCGCCAGGAGTTATTTTTAAAATCTCATTTTCAGAAAGCGGAGGAGAAAACCTCTTTCTTTTGCCTTTTCTCCACTCTTTTTTCTGTGAAAGCGTAGGAGGGGGTGTGGAGGAGGAGGGGAGCCCTGGAAGGAGAGGAAGAACCCCTGGGCAGTGTCCCAGCTTGGGGACCCGGGCCTGGGGCTGACCGGGGCTGCCCCACCCTGTGGACCCCAGAGCCGCCAGTGGGACCCTCCCTAGGCAATCTTGGCATAGGAAATCAACCATCTGCAGGATGGGGACCACCCAGGGCCAGGAGGTGGGCACTCTCTCTGCCCCCCTGGAGGGGCCTCAGTCCATCCCTGCTGTGCATCTGAGGGCAGCGAGGCTCAGAGAGGACAGGGACTCCCTCAGCCGGGAGCACAGAGCCCCAGCAAGAGCCCAGAGCCCCGCCAGGCCGCAGCTGCTAGGGGAGGGCCAACCTGGAGGCCCTGCAGCCCCCCTTGGGGATCCCAGTGCTGCCACTAGAGGCTGGGTCGGGTGTGCTCAGTGGTGGTTGTTTGTGGTGGGTGTTTTTGTTTTTCTGTGATAAGAACACTTAACGTGAGATCTACGCACTTAACAAACATTTAAGTGTGCAGTGCAGTTCCGTTAACTATGGGCGCAATGTGGCACGGCGGACTCCTGCAACTCATCCTCACTGAAACTTCATCCCCATTCAGCAGCAATGCCTCCTTTCCCCTTTCCCCCGACCCGCCCTGGGAACCACTATTTTACTCTCTGCTTCTGACTTTGACTATTTTAGATTCCATGTAGAAGCAGAATCAAGCAGCATTGGCCTTTCTGGGTCTGGCTTTATTGCACTTGGCATAAAATCCTCCAGGTTTATTCACGTTGTCATATATGGCAGGTTTCCTTCTTTTTAAAGGTTAATATTCCATCATGTGTCTATACCACATTTTCTTTCTTCATTCATCTGACCACAGACACTTCGGGCGTTTCCGTATCTTGGCTATCCTCAACAAAGCCACAGCGATCATGGGAGTACAGCTCTATCTTCAAGATCCTGGTGCCATTTCCTTTGGCTGTAACCCAGTAGAGGGATTGCTGGATCAGATGGCAGATCTATCTTTAGTTTTCCGAGGAACCTCCATGCTGTTTCCTATACTGGTTGCACCATTTTACATTCCCACCAACAGGGTACAAGGGCTCCCTTTCTCCACACCCCGGCCAACACTTGCCATCTTGTCTTTTTGATGCCAGCCATCCTAACAGGTGCAAGTCGGTCTCACTGTGGCTTTGATTTGCATGTCCTGGTGATAAGTGATGTCGGGTGCCTTTTTATATACCGGCTGATTATTTGTCTTCTTTGGATAAATGTCGATTCAAATCCATTGCCCACTTTTTAATTGGCTGATTTGGTTTTCTGCTATTGAGTGACAGCAGTTCCTTATATATCTTGGATGTTAACCCCTTATCAGAGAGAGGGTTTGCAAATATTCCCTCCCATTCCGTAGGCTGCCTTTTCATTTTGTTGTTTCCTTTGCTGTGCAGAAGCTTTTGAGTTTGGTGTAGTCCCACTTGTCTATTTTTGCTTTTTCGCCTGTGCTTTTGGCTTCATATCCAAAAAATCATTGCCAAGACCCATGTCAAACAGCATTTCCCCTGTTTCCCTCTAGGAGTTTTACAGCTTCAGGTCTTATGTTTACGTCTTCTGTGGGGGTGTCCACTGGTCAAACAGGGCCACTGTCTCCTGGGAAGGGAAATTCACAGAGTCAGGCCTTGGGGCAGCAGCCAGGGGAGCTGGAGGTGGGACCCAGCTGGACAAGGGGCATGGGTGTCCACCTGGCCCCTCCTGTCACCTCCAGTCAAACCACAGCCCCCACCATCCCGCCGCCCAGTCAAGCCCAGCAAGGTTGAACAAACCGCCTCGAGAATAAATGCTATGGGAGCCCAAAGAAATCAGGGTGGCTTCCCCGAGGAGGTGGCCTGGGCGGGGGTCTCCAAGGACAAATAGGAAAGGGCAAAAATGAGTTTCTCTAGGAAAGTGGGGGGCAGGGCGCATTCCAGGAGGAAGGCACTGCACAAAGCCTCAAACCTGGCTGCAGCCTAGGAACCCCGGGGAGTTGGGCAGGGACACAGAGAAGGAGCCTGGGAGGCCAGGGGGCTGCCCGGCCCTTGAGTCTGGCCCCTTCCTCATTGCAGGCGAACAGCAGGAGGGGGAACGGCCTAGGCAAAGTCTAGGTGGTGGGACCCACGTGGCGCCCTCCGGCTTCACTGCCCCCAGTGGGTAGTGCCCGCAGCCCCAGGCCTAAGGCGGTGGGATGCCAGGCACCCCTACCCATGACGCCCTTTCTGCGGGTCCCTGGCTGGAGGGAGGGTGCGGCGGGGAGGGCGCGTGGGCTGGGTGGCACGTGCGCCTCTCACAGGCCCCCCGTCCAGGCCGCGGCCCTCCTGCCGCGCGAGTCCTGCCTGGGCCCGCAGCGCCATCTGCCGGCCGCGCGGGGGCCGGGTCGCGGAGCAGGCGGCGGGGAGGGAGGGGGTGCCACTGCTCCAGGGGCCTCGTCCTCACCCTAGACTCGGGTCTGGGGACCTGAGTTTGAGGCTCATCTCCACCACTGATTGCTGTGCGACCAGCCGCTGGCTCCTGGCCCTCTCTGAGCTCCACCCCAATCCCAGGGCGGTGAGCAGGGCCAGGCCCACAGCGGCCGCTCTGACCCTCGGTCCTGCTCCAGTCTTACAGACGGGGAGGAGTGCACAGCGAGGCACGGCGAGGTTCCCGGGCACGCGGTCAGCAGAGAGGGGGCTGGATTTGATTCGGGGCAGCCTGCCCAGCCCCACAGGCTGAGCTCCCAGGCTCTCCCCGCTCCTGGTTCCTTCGGCTGGAGAGGATCCCAGAAGCGGCAAGCACCCGCACCCAGAGGGGAGCCCACCACATGGCAGGTGCTCACTCTCACGCCCAGAGGGGAGCCCAGCACCTCGCAGGTGCTCACTCTCACGCCCAGAGGGGAGCCCAGCACATCGCAGGTGCTCACTCTCACGCCCAGAGGGGAGCCCAGCGCATCGCACGTGCTCACACTCAGACCCAGAGGGGAAGTCACAGCTCCAGCCCCGGGACCTGCCACCCACACAGGGACCTGGACTTAGCAAACAAATGGCCCAAGCCGGATCATCCACGGGTCTCCCAGGAGACAACTGAGGCCCAGAGAAGGAAGGGGCAGGCCCGGGACCCCTTGAGGACCCACGTCTGAGCACGCACCCACAAACACAGGCACACACGCACACCTGCTGTCCCCACAACACAGACAGACCCTAGAAAGGATGCTGTGGACACTGGAACCATTGTGACCTCAGGGGTGAGGTCAGGCCTGCCAGGGCGGGGGAGGGCCAGTGCCGTAGACAGGGCCGGCCCACAGGCGTGAGGCCAGAGTTAGTGGTGAGCTCCTGTGGGTCTGCACTGCACCCCAACCATGGACAGGCAGTGTTCTGAAAGGCCATACAGCTGCACCCCGACGGGTAGAGTGTCGTCAGCCGTGTCCCAAAACTCCAGGTCAGCTCAACCCCAGCAGGGACCCCCTGACCCCCCCCCACCGGTACTCAGCCTCCTCATCTGTCAGGGGAGCCTCCCTGCAGGCCATCCAGGGGCCCCTGTGCTGAGGAAGGAGGGTCCTGCCCCCAGGAGCAGCCTGCAGGGGTTGGAGTGGGGATCAGGTTGGAGGAGAGGAGGTCAGGAGGGCGGAAGCTTAAACTGGAGTGAGGGCCTTGCCCACATAGCCTGCACCTGTGTGAGGGCCAGAGGGACCATGGCCTGTGTTGCCAACAGTGCCTGCAGGCTGTGTGAACGGGTCAGTGAATGGATGGACAGACCGTTCACCTGCTTCTCTGGGCCTCGGCTTCTATTCAGCAGAATTGAGATGATACCACAGCCAGAGTTTCTGCAGAGATTTAAGGGACATGAATAAAGGAAGGTTCCTCCACAGCCTTCCAGGGTCCCCAGGGAACCCCAGTGTCCCAGGAACCTGGAAAGACACAAAGGGCATCTCTACCTTCCTGTGTCTGATACGCAGGTCAGAGCTGTCTGGCCCCCAGCCCAGAGCCCTGCCCGCCCCCTCTATGGGGACTCAGAGCAGGTTCTGCTGTCCAGACACTCGTCCACCCGGGCTGGGGCCCACAGCCAAGCCATGGGTTCAGAGCAGGATTCCCTGTTGCAATCCACGCTGCCTACGGTGGCTGTTCCAGGAATGTCTTGGTACCTGCCTGTGAACTCAGGTATTTCCGGCTCTCGCAGTCCACGTTTGAATGTTGTCAGGCCTCCCTTCTCTGCCATAGCTTCTGTTGCTGCTAAGCCAAGAGTACTCCTCTGCAGATGTTTGCTAATAGTGTGTTCACATCGTTTTTCTATTTTTAAAAATGCATTTAACTCTGGAAGCCACAGGGGCTGTGATGTGGGTTTGGAGGGGCAAGGTACAGGCCTCGCTGGTGCCTGCGGCCCATGCTGTTACCACTGCTGTGCCTGGGGGAAGCCGGGCTCTAGCTCCAACGGGATCCTCACTCCCACTCCCAGAGTGGGCCCCAGCCAGGTTTGTCTGGAAGGTCACCCTTTCCAGGATCAGGGAACTGGCTAGTTTTCTGAGAGGCCACAGGAAGGAGGCGGCTTCCAGAAGGGGTAAACTGTGTCTTGACCTCTCAAGGTCAAGAGAGCAGGGTCTGAGGGCCTCCCCAGAGCTGCCCTGGCCCTGAGATGCCAGGAGATGTCAGAACACGTGATATCTAGGACGGAGGCTCTAGAGCTCTTCAGACAGCAAAGCTCAGATGTGCAGAAATGCAGCTTCTCAGGCAACTCCAACCCTCTGCTGCAGTTATGGGATGGAGAAGCCTGGTGGGTATCCTCCTACAGCCCTGGCAAAGGGACAGAAAGAAAGGAGGAGAAGGAGACATGCTCTGGGCAGAGGGGCCAGGGAAGCAGAGCCTCACAGGGTCCACCAGAAGGCATTTGGGAAGCTGGATCTGGTGTGATGATTACAGGGGACAGACTGGATCCTGGAGAGGTGGGAGGGCTGTCACAATGCCATGTCCAAGGTCAGGACAGGGCCGGTGGTGGCTCTGGATACATCACCTGCTATGAAGCTCTCCATTCATTCTGCCAGTATTTGCTGAGCACCTGCTACGTGGACCAGGTGTTCTAGGTGTCGGGGATACTGCTGGGAACAAAAGAGATAAAGACCCTGCCCTCATGCCTTACATTCCAGGTAGGGAGACCTGCCAGTGAGACCAGAAGCAGGAAAGTAAAGGATATGATGTTACAGGGCAAAAAGTGACACGGAAAAAAGAGAGGGTGGGGAGGGGGAAGTGTGGGGTGAGGATTTAAATCAGTTCTTCAAGAAGGTGACAACTGAGCAAAGACTAAAATCAGGTGAGGGACTGAGCCAGGCAGCCATCTGAAGGAACGGCATTCCCCAGACGGAAGGAGTGGCCACACAAAGGTCCAGAAGTAGATGTGCACCCGGTGGTGGGAGCACCCCACCACTGGAGTGGAATAAGCAAGGGAGAGCAGAAGGAAATAAGGGCAGAGAGACCATTTTTGTTCTTATGTGTCTTTTTTCTTTTCGATTACAGTATGATTTACAGATGACAAAATTCACTATTTTTAGTGTATAGCTTTCAAATTTTGACAAATGTATATAGTCATGGACTCACCATCACAAACAAAATATGGCGGTGGGTACAGGATGCCCAGACAACTCCATCTCCCAGACACTCCCTCCCATCCCTTTGTAGTGAACTCTCTCCAACTCCCAGTCCCAGGGAACCACTGACCTGCTCTCTGTCTGTAGTTTCACCTTTTTCAGAATGTCATAAAAATGAAATGACACCAAATGTAGCTTTTGGAATCTGGTTTCCCTCCTGGAGCATCCATGTTTTTGTGTTTATCAGTGATTCACCTCTTTTGTTGCTGAGTAGCATTACTGTGAGTGTGACATGGTTTGTTTATACATTCCCAGGGTGAGGGACATTTGGATTATTTCCATGTGGAGATAGCATAAATAAAGTCAGTATAAATGTTTGTGTATATATTTTAGTCAGTAGTCATTTCACTTGAGTGAATGCCTAGGAGCGGGTAGCTGAGCCATTTGGTAAGTGTACATTAGACTTTATTAGCAAATACCAGGCTATCTTCCAAGAGGGCTGTGCCACTGTGCATTCCCACCAGCAATGTATGGAAGCTCAGAGCTATTCTGCAACCTCACCAGCACTTGGTATTTCCAGTGTCTCTGATTTTAGCTATTTCAGTAGATGTGTAGTGATAGCCCACTGTGGTGTTAGTTGGTTTCCCTCGTGAGAAATGTTGAGTGCTTTTCAGGTGCTTCTTTGCCATCTGTCTGCCTCCTCTGATGCCTTGTCCCAGTCTCCTGCCTGTGTTTCCTTAGGCCGCTTGCGCTTTGCTTTGTTTTGTTTTGAGAGTTCTTTCTATATTCTGGAGATAGTCCTTTATCAGATATGTGATTTGCAAATACTGCCTCCAAGTCTGCAGCTTATCATTTTTTAATGCATATCCCTTAATCTAAATAAAAGAGAGGGGGACCAGGTGCAGTGGCTCATGCCTGTAATCCCAGCACTTTGGCAGGTGGAAGCAGGAGGATCATTTGAGCCCAGGAGTTCAAGACCAGCCTGAGCAATATAGAGACAACCTGCCTCTATAATAAAAAAAAAAAAAATAGGCAGACATGGTGGCATGCATCTGTAGTCCTAGCTACTTGGGAGGCTGAGGCAGGATGATCTCTTGAGCCCAGGAGTTTGAGGCTACAGTGAGTGAGCTATGATTGTGCCACTGCACTCCAGCCTAGGCAACAGATCAAGTCTCTCTCTAGAAAACAAAAATAAAATAAAGACAGAGGGGATCTCTAAAAGAAAATGATATTTATTCAGGAATGGGCATTGCAATAGTAATACGTGTGCCATAGTAAACCACATGCCTATTCAAGGCTGGGGCAAGGGTAAGTTTTTAAAGGCAAAATTAAAATGATTGATTATATAAGTTGTTCTGAAATAATAATTCTTGGCTACAAGGGTCAATAACAAGGCTGGGGTGAGTCCTAGGTTGGAAAGACAGTTTTCTGGGTAGATGACCTCACAGAAGTATTTGTGTGTGTGTGTGTAAGGTTGCAATTGGCCTTTGTGCAAGGTTGTGGGTTTTGCAGAGTCTTTTGTGATCGTTCTTGCAGTCAGGCATTTGTGCATGAGAACCATTCCTTTAAGGCTTCCTCCAGCCCCATTTATCAGAGTTTTAACACAGTGACTCCATTTTGATTCCAACATGTTTCACGTATCTTTCAAAAAGCAGAAGTTTTTAATTTTTATGAAATCAAATTTATCATTTCTTCTTTTATATAGTGCTTTTGGTGTCACATCTAAGAAATCTTTGTCTAACCCAAGATCATAAAGATTTCCTCCTATATTTTCTTCTGAAAGTTTTAGAAGTTTAGGTCTTACTTTTGGGTCTATGATCTTTTTGAGTAAATTTTTCATATGGTGTGAGGTATGGATTAGGGGTTATTTTTTGCATGTGTCTGTTCAATTATTGCAGCAACATCTGTTAATGCTTTTTTAATAGAGTTGCTCTTGCACACTTATCAAAAATCAGTTGAAGCCAGGCACAGTGGCATGCATCTATAGTCCCAACTACTCAAGAGGCTGAGGCAGGAGAATTGCTTTAGCCCAGAAGTTTGAGACTGCAGTGAGCTATGACCACACCACTGTACTCCAGCCTGAGCAACAGAGTGAGACCCTATCTCTAAACAAAACAAAACAAAAATAATCAATTGACCTTATATGTGTGGGCCTTTTTCCGGAATCCATGTTCTGTTACACATATTTATATTTATGTGCTTTTATCAATATTACATTGCCTTGATTACTATAGCTTGACAATAAGTCTTGACATTGGTAATGGTCCTCCAATTTTGTTCTTCTACAAAATCTTTTTGACTATCCTAGTTTCTTTACCTTTCCATATAAATTTTAGAAACAGCTTGTTGGTTACTACCAAAAAAAATTCTTGCTGGGGTTTTTATTGAAATTGCATTGAATATTTAGAAAAAGTTAGAGAAAATTAATATCTGAACAATATTGAGTCTTCCAATCCATGAACATGGTGTATCTATCTATTTTCTTGATTTATTTCATCAATATTTTGTAGTTTACAGTATACAGACCTTGCAATTATTGGTTAGGTTTATGCCTAAATAACTCATGATTTTTGGTGCTAGTGTACATGGTACCTTTTTTATTTCAATTCCCAATTGTTCATTGCCAGTATGTATAAATATGAATAATTTTTGTTTATTGACCTTACAATTTGCAAATTTGCTGAACTTATTTTTTAGTTCTAGTAGGCTTTTCTGTAGATTTGGAATTTCCCACTTGTATAATAATGCCTTCTACAAATAAAAATAGTTTGTTTCTTCTTTCCCAGGCTGTATGACTTTTATTCCTTTTTGTTGACTTCTTACATTGATTAAGTCCATAGTCTAATGTTGAATGAGAGAGGTAAGAGCAGACTTCTTGCCTCATTCCCAGTCATGTGGAAAAATATTCAGCCTTCCACCATAAAGTGTGATGTTAGCTGTAGGATTTTTATAGATACTCTTTATCAGGTTGAGGAATTTTTCTTAATTCCTATGTTTATTTTTGAATAGATGTTGGGTTTTACCAAATGTTTCTCTGCATCTATTGAGATCATTGTATTTTCTTTCCTTAGTCAATCTAGTGAATTACATTGACTGATTTTTCAAATATTCAATTAGCCTGGTATTCCCAGGATAAGCCCCGCTAGGAGATGATGGATAAGCATTTCTGTATACTTTAAATTGTTTTATTAAGAAAGTTTGTGTCTGTTCATGGAAGATATTAGGCTGTAGTTTTCTTTATTTCCAATATCTTTATCTGGTTTTGGTGTCAGGTTTTGCCTCATGGAAGGGTTGGGAAGTGTTCCCTCCTCTTCAATTTTCTGGAAGAGTTTGTAGTATTGGTATTATTTCTTCCTTAAACACTTGATAGAATTCAAGAATGAAGCCAACTCAGCCTAAAATTTTCTTTATGGGAAAGTTTTCAACTACACATTCGATTTTCATAATTTGGGTTATTCTTGTTATTTCATTCTTGAGTAAGCTTTGGTATTTTATGACTCTAAGAAATGTGTCTATTCCATCTATGTCACCAAATTTATTGGCATAAAGTTATTCAGACTATCCCTTCATTATTCTTTTAATGTCTGTAGAACCTGTAATGATGTACCCACTCTTACTGATGTTAATAATCTGTGTTTTTACTTTTTTGCCCTAATAAATCCTGCTAGTGGTTTATTAATGTTTTCATCTTTTCAAAAAACCTACTGGTTTCATTGATTTTTTCTATTTTTTGTTATTTTCTATTTCATTGATTTTTGCTCTTTTTTTCTTGAGTTTAATTTGCTGGTTTTTTCCTAATTTATTCAGTTATAATCTGATTTCAGACCTTCATTCTTTTCTAATACAGGTGTTTTAATGCTGCACCCCAGGGATTTTTATATGCTGTGTTTTCATTTTTCTTTTGTTCAAGATGCCTTTTACTTTCATTACCTTTTATTTCTTCTTTACCGATGGATTATTTAAAATTATGTTATTTAGTTTCCTTATACTTAGGTATTTTCCATCTATCTTTCTGTTATTGATTTCCAATTTAATTCCATGTGGTCAGAGATCATGCTTTGTTGGATCTGAATCCTTTCCAATTTGCTAAGACTTTTTATGGCACAGAATATAGTCTGCCTTGGTAAATGTACCATGTGTATTTGAAAATAAAGTTTATTCTTTTGTGGTTAGAGTTCTATAAATGTCAATTCAGTTATGTTGGTTAATAATTGTTTGAGCCTTTTATATTCTTACTGATTACCTGTCGACTTATTTTATCAATTATCAATAGATGGATGTTGACATTTTCAACTAAGATTGTTGACTTGTCTATTTTTCCTTCTAGCTCTAACTTCTTTGCTTTATGTGTTTTGAAGTTCTGTGACTAGATGCATGAATATTTAAGATTCTTATATCTCCTTGATTAATGGACCGATTCTCTTTATCCCTGTTATATTATTTACTCTAAAATATACTTTGTCTGATATTAACATAACCACACAGTTTTTTTAATATTTGTGTTAGCATGATATATCGTTTTCCATCCTTTTACTTTTGATTGATTGGTAGCTACTATATTTCAAGTGGATTTTGTATAGGCAGTGTACACTTGGCTCTTGCTTTTTTATTCAATTTGACAATCTCTGCTATTTGATTGTGGTGATTTAATCATTTATATTTAATATGACTTTTGATATGATTTGGTTTTAGTCTACCATCTTGCAATTTGTTTTCTCTTTGTCTCATCTGTTTTTATGCATTTTTTTGTCTCCTTCTGCCTTTATTTGCATTGAGTATTTTTTATGACTCCACCTTATCTCCTTTGTGGACTTGTTAGCCACACATATTTTGTCTTATGTTGTTTTAGTCATTGCTTTTGGGTTTCTTTTTTTTTTTTTTTTTTTTTTTTTTTTTTTTTTTTTTTTTTTTGAGACAGAGTCTCGGCTGTCTGCAGGCTCTGCCCCCTGGGTTTCACGCCATTCTCCTGCCTCAGCCTCCCGAGTAGCTGGGACTACAGGCACCCGCCACCTCGCCCGGCTAATTTTTTGTATTTTTAGTAGAGACAGGGTTTCACCATGTTAGCCAAGATGGTCTCGATCTCCTGACCTCGTGATCCACCCGCCTCGGCCTCCCAAAGTGCTGGGATCACAGGCGTGAGCCACCGCGCCCGGCCTGCTTTTGGGTTTCTAGTATACATGTTAGCTTATCTCGGTCTACCTTCAAGTGAAATTATAGCTTCGAGTAAAATTAAGAGTATAAGCACCTTCCAATATTTTGTTTTCATTTCCCCCTCCTGGCTTTTGTGCTATTATTGTTATATATTTTACTTCTATATTTGTTATAAACCCACAATGCATTATTATTCTTACTTTAAATTTTAAAAATAAACAAATTCTATTTACCTAAATTTTTCCCATTTGTGGTGCTTGTTATTCTTTTGTGTAGTTTCCTATTTCCATCTGTTGTCATTTTCCTTCTGTCTGGAAGACTATCTCAAACGTTTTTTGTAGTGCAGGACTCCTGGTGATAACTTCTTCTGGTTTTTGTGTACATGAAAAGTGTTTCTATATCACCTTCCGTTTTTAAAGATATTTTCTCTAGGTATGGAATTCCAGCTTGGCAGGTTGTTGTTTCATTTTGTTTTTTTCTTTCAGGGCGCTAAATTGTTGCTCACTGTCTCTCAGCT
Organism: Homo sapiens; assembly: GCF_000001405.40. Classification (NCBI taxonomy): domain Eukaryota; kingdom Metazoa; phylum Chordata; class Mammalia; order Primates; family Hominidae; genus Homo; species Homo sapiens. Next base: position 165,818 of record NW_025791786.1, on the reverse strand, counting down.
TGTACCGTTTTCAACAAGAACTGTGCTCTGATTTTTCGTTCCTTTCATGTGTCTTTTTTCTATGGCTGGTTTTAAGATTTGCTCCTATCATTGGCTTTGGGCAATATTATTTCAATGTGTCTTCATGTAGTTTTCTTTGTATTTCTTTTGCTTGGAATTCGTTGTTTCCTGGATCTGTGGATTTATCATTTTCATCAAATTTGTAAAATGTATTTGAGGTATTTCCTCAGATATGTTTTCTTTCCCCTTCCTTCTGTGGGGATGCAAATTCCACATACAAAATGCCATGTGATGCTGTCCCACAGCTCACTAACGCTCTGTTTTATTTTTTCCAGTCTTTTTTCTCTGTATGTTTCATTTTTGGATAGTTTCTGTTGCTGTGTCTCCAGGTTCACTCATCTTCGCTTCTACATTGTTTAATCTGCTGCTAAACTAGTGTATTCATAGTATGAAATGTATTCTTCATCATTTTATATTTCCCATGTCTTTCCTTACCATGCTTATGTTTTGCTCTACCATGTTGAACATGAGAAATATATCATTGACAGTAATGGCAAAAGTCGCAATTACTTTTGCACCAACCTTATAGTTATAATTGTTTTAATGTCCTTGTCTACTAATTATATCATTTCTGTGTTGGTTTCAATTAATTGATTTTTCTCCTAATTGTAGATCATATTTTTTTGCTTCTTTCCATGCCTAGCAAATTTTGATTGGATGCTAGACATTGTGAATTTTGCCTTGTTGGGTACTGGATATTCCTGTACTTTTTAAATATTCTTCAGATTTGTTCTTGAACACAATTAAATTACTTGAAAAGTTTGGTTCCTTTGAGGCTTTGATTTTAAAGCTTTAGTAGGAAGAGCCAAAGCATTGTTGTTTAGGGCAGATTTTTTTCCCCCATTACTGAGGTCATACCATTAGCACTCTACCTAATGCGCTGTGAATTACCAGGTTTTCCATTCTTGCTGATGAGAAAAGGAACTCTTCCTAGCTCTGTGTGAGTTCCAAAGATTGTTCCCTCTACTCTTTTTGGAGCTTTGTGGTTCTTTTCCCAAACGTACTGAGCTCAGATGAAGACGGGGAATGCAGGGGATCCCCTGCAAAGCCCCAGAACTCTCTCTCCTCCTTTTGCAGCTGTCTCCTGTGACTCTTCCCAGCAAACTCCAGCCACTTTGGCTCCCCAAGACTTTCACGTCCACTTCCTCCACTCAGAGAGACTACTGGGCTTTATCAGGCTTCCTCACCCTGCGCCGCAAACTGGAAACTTCCCAGGCAGCTGGCTGTGGCCATGCTGGGCTCACCGTGCTGGTTTTCCATTTTCAGAGATCTTTGTCCTGTGCTGCTGTTGTCTGATGTCTGATAATCATGGTTTTGTATATTTTTCCAATTTTTGAGTTGTTTAAGGCAGGAGGGTGAAGCTGGTCCTTGTTACACCCTCGTGGATGGAAGCATCTGTGTCTTATGTCATCTTCAGGACTTTGGGTTTTACTCTGAGTGAAATGGGAGGCATATGGGTAGATTTTGAGTGGCATGATCTGACATGCATCCCTCCCATGGTGGGACAAATGAATGGGTAAAATATTGAGAGATGAACTGTCTTCTAATGTACCACAGAATTCACTGATTTGATTTGCTGACTTTATCTCATTCATTGATGCATCCCAGGAGCCTAGAACATGTCCCACCCATAGTAGGCACCTGGGAAGTGGGTACCAAGAGTGAACAAATGAATAAGGTCAGGAAGTGGGTGGAGCAGGAGCCTGTTCCTGCCCCAGGGGCTCACTGGCAGAACTCGTGATGGGGGACAAGGCTTGGGCAGCATCCCCAAAAGGAAGGACCCAGTCTCTTTTGGCCCTTTGTGGCCACTAACACAGCCTGAGGTAGTGCTTTCCCCATATTTGCAAGAGAAGAGGAAGGAGAGGAGGAAAAGGCAGAGGCCAGCTTGGAGGAAGGAGAGGAGGAGAAGGCAGAGGCCAGCTTGGAGGAAGGAGAGGAGGAGAAGGCAGAGACCAGCTTGGAGGAAGGAGAGGAGGAGAAGGCAGAGGCCACCTTGGAGGAAGGAGAGGAGGAGAAGGCAGAGGCCAGCTTGGAGGAAGGAGAGGAGGAGAAGGCAGAGGCCAGCTTGGAGGAAGGAGAGGAGGAGAAGGCAGAGACCAGCTTGGAGGAAGGAGAGGAGGAGAAGGCAGAGGCCAGCTTGGAGGAAGGAGAGGAGGAGAAGGCAGAGGCCAGCTTGGAGGAAGGAGAGGAGGAGGAGGCAGAGGCCACCTTGGAGGAAGGAGAGGAGGCCTTCCTTGGAGGCCCCTGCATCCTCCCTTGCTCTGCTCTCACTGCTCCTGCAGCTCCCCCACTCCCCTCGGAGACTCCACCAGATGTCTGGGTGACCAAGGCAGTCTCACATGTGATCGGAATGAGATTGGCTCTCTCAAATCAAGAGCCTGAGCTAGGGATACCATACCCTGAGCCCTGCCATGTCCCACCAGCCATGTCTGTCTCAAACCCAACCTCAGAACCTGACACTTGCACGGAGGCCAGGCCGCACCAGGCCTACAGGTGATGCTGCCTACTCAACAGTGTCCTTGAGGCCTCGAGACCCCTGCCCTCCTCCCAGGGCCCAGCCAGTCCATTGAATGGAAGGACAAACACATGGAAGGATGCAGCTGAGCCCGATGGAAGTCAATGCTGCGCTCAGCACCCCCTGTACTAACGCAGAAATATACACGCACTCAGATGCCAACACCCAGGGCCCCTCCTCCATTTCAGAATCTCCCCCCCTGTCTCCACATCCATGAAGGACTCATCTTGCATGAAGGTACACCAGGACTCTGCCCGCAGGGACAGATGGTCACACCCCACCACCATCCTGCTTCACAAGTCGCAGAGCAGCCAGGCCACACTGATGCTACAGGAGCACAGGATGTTCATGGGGGAAGCCTACAGTGCAGGTGACTGCCAGCCCTGGGCTCAGACAGGCAGGGGCGGGTCGGCCCAGATGGGGTCAGGCTCCAGCAGATCCCACCATGTCCCTCCACCAAAAGCAGTCCTGAGGGTGATGGCCAGAGGGAGTCTCCACTCCAGGACCTTGAGGGTATCAAGTGGTGTGGACATAGTGAAGCTTTCAGCAAAGAACCCTGCACACCCGGCTTGGCCTCTTCATGCCTCCTGAGGCACCATCCAAAGCCCAAATGATGCCCCAGCTCACCCTACACCCCGCCCTCCGCTATCCTCCCTTTCCCTTTCACACCTCGGAACCGCAGTCCAGGCCTGGCCCCTCCCTTATTCAAACACCATTGAATGCTGGATGACTGGATGGATGGTGAAAGGATAAAAGAATGGATGGGGGGATGGAGGGATGAATTCATGAGTGGGTGGGTGAATAAATTTATGAATAGATGGATGTTGGGCAGATGGGCAGGTAGATGAATGGAAAGATAGATGAGCAGGTGGATTAGTAGATGGAAGGATGGACAGATGGAACATGTGGGTGGATGGACAGATGGCTGGATGGACAGGTGGATGAGTGGATGATGGGCGGATGGGAATATGAATGGTGAGTGAGGACGTGCTCATGCACCTGCACTCCTGCTCCTTACCTATGTTGAACTCCAGAAGGTCCATCTGGACAGTCAGGAGGTCCTGGACTTCTCATACATCCATTCCCCAGTTCTCATTTTCAGAGCACTCCTTCCATCCCCAGACCCATCCTCCTGCCTGCCGAGCCTTGCTGCCACAATGTGAGCTACCCACAGCCTGCTTACACATGCCTTCTTGCCAACCTTAGCCACCGGCTTCAAGATGCTGCAGGACATGAACAGTGCTGACCCCTTCCACTTGAAGTACATCATCAAGAAGATCAAGAACATGGCTCATGGCTCCCCCAAGCTGGTGATGGAAACCATCCACGACTACTTCATAGACAACCCAGAGGTGGGGACAGCTTGGGCCACTGGGGCAGGCACAGGGGGCAGAGGGGGAGGGTGGGACCCCAAGGTGGGCTCAAACCCTAGATCCTGCCTAGAACAGCTACATGGCTTGGGGCAAGTCTCCATTTCCTCATATGTCAAATGGGCCAAGTGGGGAGGGAGAAAAGTGGACCCGCATGCATTGACCACCCTCAGAATGCGCTCATGAGGTGGCGATCCTGACCCTCACAGGTGGGGAAACGAAGGCGTAGGGAGGCCAAGGGATTTGCCTGGAGTCATAGAACCATGAAGTGGCAGAGAGAAATGGCTCCTCTCACACCCCTCCCCATCCACGCCCCCACCCACATCTCCCACACGATCTGACCTGATCTGTCCCCAAGCCACCATTGCTCTGCCATCCACAGATCTCCAGCAGGCACAAGTTCCGGCTGTTCCAGACCCTGGAGATGGTCATCGGGGCCAGTGACGTCCTGGAGGAGACCTGGGAGAAAACTTTCACACGGCTCGCTCTGGAGAACATGACCAAGGCCACGGTGGGCCTCCCCTCCCACAGCAAGTGGGCCAACCCCCCACGGGTTCTGGGAATGCCAGCAGCTGCCCCAGGGACCCAAGTGATGCTGGGCATGCCCAGCCTTGTGGGTTACCAAGCAATTTCCATCCAGTGACTCACGTTCTTACCCCCAGCCCCTTCAGCGGGACAATCATACTTTTCCATCTCACGTTCCCATTCCAGGAAGGTGAGGCTCAAGAGAGCATTGCTTGTCTAAAGCCAAGGGGCTCGTAAGTTGGGGGGCCCTCTCCCCAAAGGAGGTCTCTCCCTGAAGCAGGCTATGGTTCCCCTCTGCACCGCCTTCCTCACCACTGCATGGCAGCTGCCTGCAGCCCAGCCTCTGGAAGGCCTGCTGTGAGTCTAACCCAGTCTGCAGGCTGTAACTCTGCCCTTGCCCTTGGCCACCTTCTGGGTTCCTGCTTGATGGAGACTTGGGGGTCTGGACCTGAACTGTCCCACCCACCCCACCCCACCCCACCTGCAGCTTGCAGTCCAAGAGCCAGCCCTAGCCGCCAACAATCTCCACTCCAAGAGTGGAGACTTGGGAGCAGGTGGCTTAGACTGACTAGGCCAGGGCAGCCCCAGGGGACACCTCAATACGCACACACACTAGGGTGCCCCACAAAGCAGGAGTAGACACCATTTACCCTCCGTGTGGTGCCGAGTCTTAATTCATGATTGTGCAGGAGGCAAAGGCCACTGAAAGGTCTTTAATACTCAAAGCTCTCCCCAAAGCAAGAGGCACAGCACACCCCACGGGGCCACACAGGCCTGTCCCAGGCGGGGGTCAGAAAGCAGACAGAGGGACCATCTGAACATGCCTTCAGGGCCATGGTGGTGGGAAGTAATGAAGTAGAGACATCTCCTAGGAGCTACGGGGACACAGGCAGGTTGAGGGCATTGTAATGGGACTTCCATACTCCCCAAAAGATGTAAGCAGCTCCAGCTGCTCACCTGGCCCTATGATTCAACAAACTCAAGGAGAGGTTATTTGGAATAACAGACATCAAACAGCCAGCACAGGGCCTACAAGCATGGTCAACACATCCTCCACACAGGGGTTTGTGGCCCCATTTACGGATGCGGAGGCTGGAGCCCAGAGCCTTAGGGACTGGCCTGCAATCACAGCCCAGCTGGTGGGTGGCAGGTGGGACATGCCCCTGTGCTCCCCCAGAGAAGTGAATGAGGCCACCCTGGGTGTGAGAGACAGCAAAATGGGAAGCAAGGGCCCTGTCTACCTATTTCTTTTTTCCACCTCATTTCTTTTTCTTTTGGAATCTTATGCATGTGTTTGTCACACTCACCACTGCGAAGTCTTTCAGGCGTCTCTGCAGTTTACAGATTGATGATCCTAGGGAGATGGGGTTGGGGAGCAGTTTCCCCGGGGAGGCAAGGGCTTCGGGACACTCTCAGGGGTGTGGTCTGGCTTCAGCCTCCCTGAGGGTGGACAAGACCCTCCTGGGGCTTCATGAGGAGGGGCCCCTGCATGGAGTCTGGCATGAATGAGGCCAGGACTGGTCTACATTTTCTGCTTCTGAACACACTGCAGCCCCGCTCCAGCCCCCAGAGTAAGTCGACACTTCTGTGGGTCCTACCCGCCCCCTGGGACACAGACAGACACTTCTGTGGGTCCTACCCACCTCCTGGGACACAGAGGGACACTTCTGTGGGTCCTACCCGCCCCCTGGGACACAGACGGACACTTCTGTGGGTCCTACCCGCCTCCTGGGACACAGAGGGACACTTCTGTGGGTCCTACCCGCCCCCTGGGACACAGACGGACACTTCTGTGGGTCCTACCCGCCCCCTGGGACACAGACGGACACTTCTGTGGGTCCTACCCGCCCCCTGGGACACAGACGGACACTTCTGTGGGTCCTACCCGCCCCCTGGGACACAGACGGACACTTCTGTGGGTCCTACCCGCCCCCTGGGACACAGACGGACACTTCTGTGGGTCCTACCCGCCCCCTGGGACACAGACGGACACTTCTGTGGGTCCTACCCGCCCCCTGGGACACAGACGGACACTTCTGTGGGTCCTACCCGCCCCCTGGGACACAGACGGACACTTCTGTGGGTCCTACCCGCCCCCTGGGACACAGACGGACACTTCTGTGGGTCCTACCCGCCCCCTGGGACACAGACGGACACTTCTGTGGGTCCTACCCGCCCCCTGGGACACAGACGGACACTTCTGTGGGTCCTACCCGCCCCCTGGGACACAGAGGGACACTTCTGTGGGTCCTACCCGCCCCCTGGGACACAGACGGACACTTCTGTGGGTCCTACCCGCCCCCTGGGACACAGACGGACACTTCTGTGGGTCCTACCCGCCCCCTGGGACACAGACGGACACTTCTGTGGGTCCTACCCGCCCCCTGGGACACAGACGGACACTTCTGTGGGTCCTACCCGCTGCCTGGGACACAGAGGGACACTTCTGTGGGTCCTACCCGCCCCCTGGGACACAGACGGACACTTCTGTGGGTCCTACCCGCCTCCTGGGACACAGACGGACACTTCTGTGGGTCCTACCCACCCCCTGGGACACAGACGGGCATCAGGCACTCTGTTACCTAGGTCAGGACCAGCCGAGTTCAGACAATCTTCCAGCCCAGCATAGAGCTTGGAGTCAGTGAGGACCGGCCTGGGCCTGCACTCCTGTTGCCCTGCTCCGGTGGGGGACTGTGTTTCCTACACCCTAAGTCTCCCCTTTCCAGATTTACTTTCTTAAACTGGAGACAGACTTCAGCTTCCTGGAGGTGCTTCTTGGGGTAGGGCTTAAGGGAAGTAAGGTTTTGAGCCTGTGCATTTCCAGAAATCTCTGGATTTGATTTCACACTGGACTGTGGGTTGGCAACCGCTGTCCATTGTCCTCTGGCCCTCGTGGCTGTTGAGGATCCAGAGCCATCCTGAACCGTAATCCTTCACACGCGACCTGATGTCTGCTGGGGAGCTCGGGCTTGTGGAGTCTTTGTCCTGCCCATTCCGCAGGAGTGGAAGTCACTCTGGGGGCAGCATTAGCCACCGCGCTTTGTGGTCACGTATCCCTTCCATCTGGCTACCTGAACCCTTGGTTCCACCGTAGAGTGACCAGGTGAGCCCACTGCTGCCACCCTCACCCAGCTACGTCAGCATCTCTCCATCTTCCCTTCTACGCTCTGAGGAGTCCCAGGGAGACGCTCACCCAGGGGCCCTGCATAAAGGTCAGGGTCCCATCCCATGGCAGTCATGCCAGGACTGGCCTGGGAAGTGAGTATTCCCGGAGTTTACGGGCCTGGCAACCCCTGGGTAGAGACACTCATCTGCCCCCTCCAGAGACTGAGCCCCCAGAGTCTTGCTGGGGTGGGAGAGGGCCAGCTCCCTTCACGTGTGCAGAGTGTGGGAGGTACATCTACGGACTCAACTACTTCTAAAACCACGTCACCTTTAGTTTCAGCCCCTCCACTGCCCCTCCAGTTCTAGAGGCTGGGAGACAAGAGACCCCCCCAACTTCAAATACTGGGGGACAGTGCCGTGTGGGTGAGCTGGCCGCTCGGCCTCTGCTCCGCTAGCCTACACGTGGTCTTCAGGCCCCTCGCCTACCTGCTTCCCACTTCCACAGTGCGGTTGCTATTGTCCTTTTTAAAAAATCTCCTAAATGTAGTGTCAGCTGAGGTAGGTTTTTTGAAAGAGCAAAATCAGATTCAATCACCATCTTCACAAGAAGCCCCCATAACCATACTTTCCATAAGTTATAAATGATATATCTATTTCATGCGATGATTCAAGCTGCATGGCACGGCTCAGACACCCCCACTTTCAGACGCCCCCAAGTGCAGACAGGCCTCCTGTTCACCTGCCTCAGAGCCACAGAAGCTGCCTTATGGCTCCCATGAAGACTGAGAAAAGAGTAGAAATCAAAATTGCAGCAAGATCTAAAGGGATACCCACACGCTTGTTAAGAAAGGTCCCAGGTGTGACCACACAGAGCCAGGCTCCGGGACCCATGTGGTTCCTTCCTGCTGAAGATGCCCCTCCACTGGACAGTGGGGGCTTGGCCAGGGTCAGGGAGGCCAGGGACCCAGTCAGCGGGGCTCTGCCCTTGAGCAGCTGACGCCCTGGCTCTCTTGGACAGGAATATAGCCTCTGCTTCTGAATTCATGGTGAAAGATGTGACATTGTCCTGAGCCGCCAGGAGCTCAGGAGGAGAGGTGATGTGGGCTGGAGGTTTCAGGATGAGTGCCCTGAACCCAGGCCTTGGAGCAGGCTCTAAGTGGGAGTGGAGGTGAAGGCAGGCACACAGCGTGAGCAAGGGCTCAGAGGTAGGGAGGAAGAGGAGGAGGTGTTCCGGCAATGGACGCAGACCAGGAAGGCCTCAGGCTCCCTCAGCCTCAGTTTTCTACCAAAAGAAACATGGGCCGTGGCCGCTGTCCTGGCCCTCAAACCAGCCCTGGCATGTGAAGACGCGAGGTCTCGTAACAAGCCGCTCTTACTCTACCTCCCGCCCTGCCTGCTCCCACCCCACCCCAGGAGCTGGAAGACATATACCAGGACGCGGCCAGCAACATGCTGGTGGCCATCTGCAGGCACTCGTGGCGGGTGGTGGCGCAGCATCTGGAGACGGAGCTCCTGACGGGCGTCTTCCCACACAGAAGCCTCCTCTACGTGATGGGCGTCCTGTCCTCCAGCGGTATGTCGGGCGCCAGTTTGCGGACAGGGTGGGGTGGGTCATGGAGAGTGATCCAAGAGGTGGCTCTGAGAGTCCACATGGGCAGGGTACAGGGGCTGCACGTCACTTGTGCACCATGAGGTAGCTTCATGCCCGGCAGCAACAGGCTGCTGCCCCGAGGACCCCCATTGCCCACCACCCCTCAGAGGGCCCAGGCCATGCTCAGGATCTCCCTGGAAAGAGCGACACCAGGCCCAGCCGTGTCAGCCCCTCTGATGGCTCACCCACTCCTACTGTCAGTATTGCAACAGCTGGACCTGGACGGAGCCAGGATGACAGAGGAGGTCCCAGGAGGTGGCCCAGGACAGGTGTGAGGCTGGCACATGGCCGGGCAACTCCACTGCCAGCTGCTGCATCTGTCTCCTCCCTTGGTCACACAAGGCAGGTGGGCATTCCTCCCCTGGAAGGTGAAGAGATGGAGCTCAGAGAGGCAGCATGGCCGACCAGGGCCACTCCCAGCCTGTCACAGCCGGCAGTGTCTGGGCCCTGCATCCACATAGCCGCGGCCTCCAAGCTGCGGGAAGTGCCGGCCTGGACAGTGGGGCCTCTGAGGACCCCAGAAGAAGGACATTCAGAGAGTTGCTGACACAAAATAGCGAACACTTACTGAGCACCTACCCATGCCAGGCCCCCAGCCACACAGAGGCGAGGGGCAGCCTTCATTCATTCACTCATTCATTCACAGCATATGCTGTTGCGCTTCCCACTGGGAGATGCAGGGCTGCCTTGAGGGCAGCTGGGGTTGCCCAGAGAGGAAAGGGACCAGTTGTCCTGGGGCCATCAAGGAGGGCTTCCTGGAGGAGGCAGCCAGTATAGGCCACATCTAGAGGGATGCGTAGGAGGGTGAGGAGGGACACTCCTTCTGCCAAGGGCCTTGAGGAAGAGTTGGTCGGCAGCCACAGTGAGGGGTGGGGTTGGGGTGTGGCAGGCCCTGTGACCTGCAGGGAGGCCCAGGCCCAGCAGGGGTGTTTGGACGCTAAGACCTGAGGGGAAGCAGGACCTGCTCGGCTTGGCCTTGCACCTCCCACCCCAGGATTAGCAGGCTGCATGGAGGTCCCTCTGCACCTGGGGGTACTGCTGAGGCTGCCAGATCCCTCCCCAAATCAGCCTTTCCCTCTGGGGTAGGTTCCAAAGTTCCGGAAAAGCTCTCCACTCTCACAATGCCTCCCTCCCAAAGGCTTATTTTCCCACTCTTGAGAGGCCATGCTTGGCAGCGCCCCTCCATTCACCATGAGTGAGCCCGAGGCCCAGAGAGGGAGCCCAGCCCGCCTGAGGCCACACAGTAAGAGCAGCTGGGCCGCAAGCCCACCCCAGCTCTCTGAACCCAGAGCCAAGCCCGGCTCACATCCCTCCAGCTCCCGCGCCCCACAGAGGTAGGGCAGGCAGAGGCCAGCAGCATCAGCCCGGGCCAGCGCTAAAGGCCGGAAGAGACGGGTGTTAGACAGGGCCCTGTGACCCATCCCTCCTCCCACAGAGGAGCTCTTCAGCCAGGAAGACAAGGCCTGCTGGGAAGAGCAACTGATCCAGGTAGGGAAGGAGCCCAGCTCCCAGCCACCAGACCTTCTGTGGGGGCAACAGGGGAGAGGCAGCAGGATGGGTGCCTGGGAGGAGGGGTAGGGGGAAGGAGGGAGGAGGAAGGGAAGGCAGAGAGAGAGAAAAGGGGAGGGGAGGGAGAAGAGAGGGTAGTGGGGAGACAGGGAGGATGAGAGGAAGGAGGGAATGTCAGGGAGGAAGGAGGGAGGAATGAGAGGGAGGGGGGAAAGGAGGAGGAGGAGGCAAGAAGAGGGGATTGAGGGGGAGGGAGGAAGATGGGGGAACAAGAGGGAGCAGGGAGGGAAGGAGGGAGGGAAGGAGGGAGGGAAGGAGGGAGGGAGGCCCCTACTCTGCAGATGAGCACACAAGTCTGGAAAAGGGAGGGGACTGCAGTCACAGGGCCAGTCACTGCAGCACTGGGATTGGGAAGGGGACCACAGTCACAGGGCCCGTCACTGCAGCACTGGGATTGGGAAGGGGACCGCAGTCACAGGGCCCGTCACTGCAGCACTGGGATTGGGGAGGGGACCACAGTCACAGGGCCCGTCACTGTAGCACTGGGATTGGGAAGGGGACTGCAGCACTGGGATTGGGAAGGGGACTGCAGCACTGGGATTCGGGAGGGGACCACAGTCACAGGGCCTGTCACTGAGGCGGTGGGATTCAAACCTCGGTCTCCACATGCCTGGCACAGAGCACATACGCAACGCACTCAGCCAGAGCTGTCACCCTGGAAGGCAGGAAGCAGGTTGGGGTGAACAGAGGGAGCCCCAGCCAAGAAACAGAGTCCGTGCAGGCCCATCCCTGAACACACACCCGAGTGAGTGAGGGGCTGACATGGCTGAGGGAAGGGACACGAGACCCCCGCCCCCTGGATCCAAGCCCATATTCAACCAATCACCACTCTGTGACCTGGGGGACCCACTTCACCTCTCGGTCCCTTAGTTTCCTCATCTGTCAAATGGGAATCCAAGCACTTCACTCAAATGGTGGGTATGACGAGTATACGAGGTAATCCGTGGAAAGCATCGGGCACCGTGCCAGTGACGCAGGAAACCCTCGCTAATGTCATTATTGTCCTATGGGAAGAGCTGTAGTGGTAGTGACAGGAGCAGCAGCGGTGGCGGCAGGAGAATACTTGGAATGGAATGGTATCCAGTAGAAATAGCACCAGCAGCAACACAAGCAATTGATAGAACAAGAAGACAAAAAGTTACGGAGGATAGAGAAAACTTGAACAATACATTAACCAAATTCGTCTAATAAAGTGCAAACAAAATATTCGCCAGGGGGTTTGGGGGGAAATGGAGATGGTTAATGGGTACAAAAAATAGGAAGGATGAATAAGATCAAGGTGACTATAGTCCATTAGTCAATTGTAGATTTTAAAATAACTGAAAGAGGCTGGGTGTGGTGGCTCACCCCTGTAATCCCAGCACTTTAGGAGGCCAAGACGAGCCCATCACTTGAGGTCAGGAGTTCGAGACCAGCCTGGCCAATATGGCGAAATCCCATCTCTACTAAAAATACAAAATTAGCCCAGCATCATGGCACATGCCTGTAATCCCAGCTACTCGGGAGGCTGATATGGGAGAATCACTTGAAACCAGGAAGCAGAGGTTGCAGTGAGCCAAGACCACGCCACTGCACTCCAGCCTGAGCAATAGAGCAAGACTCCATCTCAAAATAAAATAAAATAACTAAAAGAGGGCCGGGCACAGTGGCTCATGCCTGTAATGCCAGCACTTTGGGAGACTGAGGCCGGTGGATCTCCTGAGGTCAGGAGTTCAAGGCCAGCCTGCCCAACATGACGAAACCCCGTCTCTACTAAAAAGTACAAAAATTAGCTGGGCATGGTGGCATGCACCTGTAGTCCCAGCTACTCGAGAAGCTGAGGCAGAGAACTGCTTGAACCCTGGAGATGGAGGTTGCAATGAGCCGAGATCGTGCCATTGCACTCCAGCCTGGGCAAAAGAGTGAGACGCCGTCTTAAAAAATAATAATAAAATAAAGTAAAAGAGTATAAGTGGATTGTTTGTAACACAAAGGATAAACGCTTGAAGTGACGGATACCTTATTTACCCTAATGTGATTATTGCACATTGTACACCTGTAGCAAAATATCCCATATACCCCATAAATTTATATACGTACTATATACCCACAAAAATTAAAAATATTAAATTTTTTTTTTAATTCACCAAGATAGACCATATGCTGGGCCATATATCAAGTTTCAACAAATTTAAAACAGCTGATATCAAACAGAGTACATTCTCTGATCAAAATACAAATTAGAGTCCAAAATAAAATACATCTGGAGAAACTTCAAATCCTTGGAAATTAAACAACACATTTCTAAATAACCCATCAGTCAAAGAAGAAATCACAAGGAAAATTAGAAAATATTTTGAACTGAATGATAATGAAACGCAACATATGAAAATCAGTGGGATGCGATAAAAAGCAATATTTAGAAGGAAATTTATATTTTAATGCCTACATTAGGAAAGAAGAAAGGTATAAAGTCAATTATCTAAGCCTCTATTTTAAGAAACTAGCCAAAAAATGAGCAGATAATAAACTCAGAGTAAGTAGAAGGAAGGAATAACAAAAACTAGAGCAGAAATCAAAGAAACAAAAAGAGATAAACAGAGAATGACTAGAACCAAAAGATCAATACATTGAGCCAGATGCCATGGCTTATGCCTGTAATGCCAGCTACTCTGGAGGCTGAGGCAGATGGACTGCTTGAGGCCAGGAGTTCAAGACCAACCTGAGCAACGTAGTAAGAACCTGTCTCTAAAAAAATTTATATTAGGGTTGAATATGAGATTTAAGAAAAAAAAAACACTTCTAAAACCTAGCCAGGCATAGTAGCTTATACCTGTAGTCCAGCTACTCATGAGGCTAAAGGCAGAAGGATCACTTCAGCCCAGGAGTTCAAGGCTGCAGTGAGCTGGGATCAAACCACTGCACTACAGCCTGGACAATAGAGCAAGACCAATCTCTATTTAAAAAATGATAAATAAATAAGTAAATTGATAAACCCCCTCACTAGACTGATCAAAAAGAGAGAAAACACAAAATACCAATTTCAGAAAGGAATAAGGAACACTACACATCCCTCAGACATTAAAAATTATAATGAAATATTCAATAAATTAGATAATTTAGATTGAATAGACAAATTCTCTAAAAAACACGTTACCAAACTGACATAAGAAACAAAAAATAAATAGTCCTATATCTATTAAATAAATTGAAATCATAATTTAAAACATTCTCACTAAGAAAACTTCAAGCCCAGACACTTCACTGTGAATTCTATCAAAAAGTTAAAAAAGAAATAGTACTAATTCTATACAAATGTTTTCAAGAAAATAGAGGAGGAAGGAATAACTTCCTAAATCATTTTATGAGGGCTACACAACCCAAAGACATTACAAAAAGAGAAAGAAAACTAAAGACCAATATATTTTATGAAAATAGACTCAAAAATAGTTGTTGTTGTTTTTTTTTGAGACAGAGTATCGCTCTGTTGCTGGAGGCACATGCCAGGCTGCAGTGGCACAATATCGGCTCACTGCAACCTCTGCCTCCCGGGTTCAAGTGATTCTCCTGCCTCAGCCTCCCAAGTAGCTGGGACTACAGGCACATGCCACCACCCCCAGCTAATTTTTGTATTTTTTTCTTTTAAAGTGGAGACAGGGTTTCACCATGTTGGCCAGGATGGTCTCAATCTCTTGACCTCATGATCTGCCTGCCTCAGCCTCCCAAAGTGCTGGGATTACAGGCATGAGCCACCGCCTGCCTGAAAATAGACTCAAAAATCTTAACAATATATTAACAAATTGAATAAAAGGATAATACACCATGATCAAGGAGGGCTTATCCCAGGGACACAAGGTCAATTTAACATTTGAAAAGCAATAAGTGCAATTCAACACATTAACAGAATAAAGTAAAAAAAGTTTGGTCATATTTATAAAAAATCATGTGGAAAAAGCATCTGACAGAATTCAATACCTGTCCATGATAAAAGCTCTCAACAAACTAGGAGTAGAAGGAAACTGCCTCAATGTGACAATGGACATCTAAAGCTACAGTTAACACAATTAATGATCCAAGACCAAACACTTTCCCACTAAGATCAGGAATAAAGCAAAGGTGTCCTTTCTCTCTACTTCCACTCAACATTACACTGAAGTTGCTAGCCAATGCAATAAGGTAAGAAAAAGGAGAAGGGAAAAAAGACAGAGATTGCAATTCAAAAAGTAAAACTATCTCTTTTGTAGACATGTGACTATATACATAGAAAATCTTACAGAATCATATTTAAAATACTAGAACTAATAATTACTAATAGTTGGATGTAGCAAGATCTCAGGATACAAGATCAATATATAAAAATCAATTGAACTTCTATATACTGGTAACAAATAATTAGAAAATAAAATTTTTCTTAAAAAATGACATTTTCAGCAGCATTAAAGATATAAAAGACTCAAAGATAAATGCAACAAAATATATGCAATATTGTTTCAAAGCATTGCAAAGAGAAATTAAAACAACCCTTAAAAAGTGGAGACATACAATGTTTGTGGACAAAATGATTTAATAATGGTAAGATGTCAATTCTCCCAAAATTTATTTGTAGATTGAATGCAATGCCAATCAATCTCAGAAAACTATATTGTAGGATTAAATATAAGCTATAGAATAAATTTTTATAAAGAAATTTTAAAGAACCTAGAATAGCCAAAACAATTATGAAAAAGAAAAAAGTTGCAAGAAATTGGCTACTTGATTTCAAGACTTACTATAGGGCTACAGCAAACAAGACATGAAGCATTGGCATAGGTTAAACAGATAAATCAATTGAACAGAATAGAAAATCCAATATCAAACCATACGTAAACAGTCGATTGATTTTTTTAAAGAAAAATATATCAAAGCAGTTCAATGGGGAAAGTCTTATAAACTA
Organism: Homo sapiens; assembly: GCF_000001405.40. NCBI lineage: Eukaryota > Metazoa > Chordata > Mammalia > Primates > Hominidae > Homo > Homo sapiens. Next base: position 150,111 of record NW_025791786.1, on the reverse strand, counting down.
TTTCATATATGTAAGAAAAAAAGTGAACTTTAGTGCCTAGTTCAAACCATTCGCAAATATTAATTAGAGATGGAGCCAAAGGCTAAAATGTAAAAGGTAAAACTCAAAAGTGTCTAGAAGAAAACATGGGAGAAAATCTTGCCAGCCTTAGGGTAGCTAGATATTTCTTAGGGCTCAGAAAGTAATCATCATAAAGATTTAAAAAATGATGTTAGATTTCATCAAAATTAAAACGTTTCATCAACTGATAATGCTAAGAAAATGAAAAGGCAAGCCACAGACATGGAGAAAATACTCACAAACTGGAAAAGAGCCTATATCCAGAATAAATAAAGAACTTGTATAACTCAGTAAGCAAAAGACAAAGAGGTCAATTTCTTAAATGAGCAAAAAATCCACAACGCACCTCAGGAAGGAAGACATCTCAATGACCAATAAGCAAGTGAAAAAACGATGAGCGTCGTTAGTCCTCAGGGAAGGCTCAGTTAAAACCACAAGGAGCCGCCTCCGTGTCTCTGCCAAGGGCACACAGGTGAAACAAGGACCACAACAGACATTGGCAAGGACGCGGAGCCAGCAGAACGTTGAGGGCAGGACGGGAAAATGGCGCAACCTCTTTGGAAAACTGACATTTTCTTCTGAAGTTAACATATGACTCAGCAATCCCACTTTTCGGTATTGTACTCAAGAGATGTGAAAACATCCATACACAAAATTACTTCTACAAAAATGGTCATAGCAGCCTTATTCATTCTAGCCTCAAACTGGAAACAACCCAGACGGGCAGGATGCCGCACATCCCCCTGAAAAGATCTAAAGTCAATCATCTAAGTGTCCGTCTCAGGAAACTAGAGAAGGATCAAGTTGAACCTGAACCAGGCAAAGGAAATGAAATAATAAAAGTTAAAATAGAAAAAGAGGAGTGAACTTGCGGCACATGCAACGACATGGATGAATCTCAAAAACATGCTGAGAGAAAAAGTTCCAGACACAGAAGATCACAGACTGCCTGCTTCCAATTACATGCAATTCTAGAAAAGGCCAAACTCATCGGCAGGGAAATCAGAACAGTTTTGTAGTGAGGGAGCTTAACCAGGAAGGGGCATGAGAGAGCTTTTTGGGGTGGTGGCAAATGTTCTATATCCTGAGAGGATGTAAATTACATGGGCTGGATTCATGAGCTCTACAGTAAAGATCTGTGCACTTCATTGTGAGTTAAAATATCTCAATTTTTTAAATACTTAAAACTTTAAAAATTAAAAATTTGGGGAAGAGATGTGCTTCAAAATTCAGAATATTTTAGATTTTTTAAAAAGTAATATGATATACACACTGTATATTCCAAGAACATCCTTAGGAGGGTCTGGGCAGATGTAGAATGAAATAGATTGGCGTCCCTGCTACAGAAGCAAATAGTCACACCAGGTCCCACAAATCGCATCACGTCAGTGCAGCTCAGTGTCTGCTATCCAATCAGAAGCAAATAGTCACACCAGGTCCCACAAATCGCATCACGTCAGTGCAGCTCAGAGTCTGCTATCCAATGAGGTTGCTACAAAGCTATGGGGGAAAAATGTTTAATTTTCTGAGCTTGGGAATTTGAATTTTAGACAAGGAACTGTGGCATTGTTATATGCAGCAGTGAACAAAGACAGTAAAGGTCTGGGGGAGGGGACCTTCTGGGGGACCTCAGGGCTTCCTGGGGGGCTGGGGTTTCATGGACATTCTGCCATCACCTGTTTTGTGGGTGAGACAGCCCCCCAGGTCCCGCTGTACCCCAGTGTTTTACAAATGGCCAGGAGGAGGTCTATCCTGGGCAGACAAGCTCTTCCAGATTCTACCATAAGTGGGGGGGGGATTTCCATTCCAGGGACCAAGGGATCAATTCCAAGGAGGATGCAAATGGTCCCACCTGTGTCTTCTGCCCCACAAGATGTCCCCTCATGCTCATGGCATCACAAATTTAGTATTCCTTTAGGATAAACTTCTAGAAATGGGGTTGCTTAGGGAAATTCTGTATATTTTCAACTTTGATATTGACATTGCCTTTTAATTGAGATTGAAAAAACCTTCCAAAAATGCAGATCCAATCACCCTCCCACCAAAGGACACTTCCTTGCTGATAGTCAGTGTTTGACTGTTTGCCAATCTTAGTCAAAACATTACATTAGTTTTCATTCCTTAAGTATTAGCAAGGTTGAGTTTACAGTGTCTTCATCATGTATGTATCCCTTCATCATTTTACAGTGTCTTGTTTGTCATCTTCTTATCGATTTATAAAGTGCGGGTTGTTGATCTCTGATGTTAACCCTTGGCAATAGGCAGCAACAAAGATAAAACAAAACTTTGCTTCATCTTTCCACTTAATTTATAGTAATTTTGCTGAACCAGCTTTTTTAAATGTTTATCTTCACATTTAGCAATCTTTGCTTTTAAGGTTTTTGGGTTTGGGATCATAATTTTGGAGGTTATCACCCACCCCCAAAGAATCTTGGGATCAAAAACTTTGGAAATATTGAATCACAGAATCTGGGAACACTTGAAATTGAGAAATATTGCAGTCATCGTTATAAAATCACGTGATGTTAGGAACAGAACTTTCAGGACCTTATATTTTGAAGGGACAGTTCATTCATTCATTTGATTTCTCATTTATTGATTTATAAAATTAATGGCCTATCTGCTGTGTGCCGGGTACCATGCAGGGTGCTGGAGATCCAGCTGTGAATAACCAGACGAGGCCCTGCCCTCCTGGCACCCACCGCAGAGGAGCCACCTTCAGCTGACACTCACTAATCATCTGCTATGTTGGAGACTCCTGGGTGGTGCCCAGGACACAGTCAGGACTCCAGTCTCCAGCCTCCTGGTTTCCCAGCCTCACCTTGAACCCCTCTGCAGAAAGAATCTTCGGGAATGAGTTCCCTGTCCCTGAGAACCATAGAACAAAGAAGAGAGCTGGGCGCTGGGGACTCAAAAGAAGGGAGGGACAAGGGGGTGATGGAATCAGGGTTCAGGGTGGCCAGGGTGGGCTGGGGCAGCTAGAATCTCAGGCCCTGCTCTCAGGTAGAGGGACAGACGGCTCCAGCCCCCCATGCCCCTCTGCTGACAGATGGCCATCAAGTCAGTCCCGTTCCTGAGCACGGATGTGTGGTCCAAGGAGCTGCTGTGGACACTCACCACGCCCAGCTGGACCCAACAGGAGCAGTCCCCTGAGAAGGTGAGCCCCACCCTGCCTCCAGGAGCAGCCCCTGCCTGCCCCCTACACAGCCCCAGGGGCTCTGTCCATAGGACACCCAGGGTCCTAGAAAGAAGTTGGTGGACTTGAGGCAGGGGTGGGGCCTGGACAGCAGGACTTGAGCTGCACTCGCTGCAGCCGCAGGCAGAGGCTTGGACAGACCACAGCCGGGTGTTGCGGTGGCTGCAGGGGCCGAGGGAGGCCAAGCCAGTGTGGTCAGGGGCAGCTGCTCAGAGGAGGTGGCAGGCCACCTTGGGGGGGGTCAAGCACAGGATAAGATGCTGCCCTTCCCACAGGCCTTCCTGTTTACCTACTATGGGCTAATCCTTCAAGCTGAAAAAAATGGTGCCACGGTCAGGAGACACCTGCAAGCCCTCCTGGAAACATCCCACCAGTGGCCCAAGCAGAGGGAGGTGAGGACCCAGGCCCCACCCTGTCCCCGCCACCACCTGACCGTGACCACAGGCTGAGCCTGATGGCTGGTCTCACACCATGCCCTAATCCTGACCACAGCCTGAGCCTTCTCCTTCTTCTCACCCCAACCCCTGACCCTGGTCACAAACTAAGTTCTGACCTTGGTCTACAGTTGAACCTTGACGCTGATCACAGGCTAACCCCTGACCCCAGTTACAGCCGTGATCTCAGCCGCAGCGTAGCCCTCCTCCTCCTTCTTAAACACATCTCCTCGTTGCCACTCCGGCACAGCCTGCTCATAGCCGGCAGTGAGGGATAATGGGCCTCCAGGGATTCACCTCTGCCCCCCACGCCCCTCACTCCCCCCACCAGACCCCATAAGCCGGGTGTCCCCTGGCATGGGCTCGGTCACAGGTCCTGACAGAGTGGGGTGGTTGCTGGCTGCCCTGGGGCCCTGGATGAGCCCCAACCCCCTCTGGGGGTCCTGTTCCTCCTCAGTTTTCCCTCCTGCCAGGGGAGGAGCCGGGTCCGGTCCTGGACTTTGGGGTCCCCTGATGAGTGACCCTGATACCCGACCCACAGGGCATGGCTCTGACCTTGGGGCTGGCGGCCACACGCCACCTGGATGACGTCTGGGCCGTCCTGGACCAGTTTGGCAGGAGCAGGCCCATCAGATGGAGTCTCCCCAGCTCCTCCCCAAAGGTACTGGCTCAGGGGTCCTCAGAGACCAGCAGGGGTCTAGGACAGCAAGACCCCCACCATCTGTGAAGGTCAGCCTCTGGGGACTCCTAGGACACTACCCCGTTCACCCACCCCATTCAGGTGGGTGTGGGAGGGGCCCCCACAAGGAGGGGAAGGCAAGGGGCCTGGACCCCAGCCAGCTCCAGCAGAGACGAGCGCCCCACACACACCCCACCCTAACACCCCACCCAAACCATGGCCCTAACAAGGCCCCAGCCATCCCCCAAAGAGCCAGTCCTAGTCCCCTTGTTTTCCGACTGAGGAGATGGAGGCTCACTGCCCCTCAGGACAGACACCTGCCCCCAGGGCCCTGCTAGAGCCAGGCAACCACCTCCACAGCTCCCCAGAGGAGGGTAGGGCGGGGTGCTGACACTCCTCACCTGCCTGCCACCCCTGGGCCAGAACTCGGAGGACCTGCGCTGGAAATGGGCCAGCAGCACCATCCTCCTGGCATACGGCCAGGTGGCAGCCAAAGCCCGGGCCCACATCCTCCCGTGGGTGGACAACATCGTGTCCAGGATGGTCTTCTACTTCCACTACAGCTCTTGGGTAGGCCTCTGGCTGCCCCTGCAACATCCCAACACCTGCCCCTCCCCACCAAGACCGAGTCCCGGACCCCAGCCCAGAGCCGCCCCACCGGCCTCTCAGAGCAGAGAATTCCAGGACCTCCCAGGGCCTTGGAGCCCACCCCCATGCCCCACCCCACCCTGGAATCATGAGGAACCAGGCCCAGCTTTCTGGTGGCCCAAGATTTCGTCCGTCCATCCCACCGAAAGTTCGCTGGGCTTCATGATGCCTCTACCCTCACTTCTCCTCTTAAAGCAAACCCTGGGTTTCACTTTGCGGGTGGGGGACATGGGTACGGAGAGGCCAGGCTGACGTCCATCGTGTTATGATGACAAGCCCCTGACTCCACACCTCACACCAGTGGCCTCCAGCCCAGGTCACTGTGAGGGGCCCCGCAGGGCTGCCCCCACCCCAAAGTAGCCACATCGCTGCCCCGGGTCGCTGCTGCTGTGGCCCTGGGGCATGGGGTTGCCACATCTCAAGAGACTTACAGGCACTGTCCCAGTGTTTAAACGTTGTAAATTACAGTTTTAAAACCATGCAGCCCCACCCCTTAAGAAGCCCCCCAGGTGCGGCCTCGGTGGGTGGTCTCTGCTGTCCCCTTTCAGCCATGACCCTGCTGCCCCTTGGATCACAGCCTCACGCTCTTGCTCCCACTGCACACTCCCGCGCCCTGGGCCCTGACCCTGTCCCCCGTTGCAGGACGAGACCCTGAAGCAGAGCTTCCTCACAGCCACCCTGATGCTGATGGGTGCGGTGAGCCGGAGTGAGGGCGCCCACAGCTACGAGTTCTTCCAGACCTCTGAGCTCCTCCAGTGTCTGATGGTGTGTTCCAGGCCCTGGGTGAGGCGGGCAGCCTCCCTCAGTTTACTCCCTGCGGAAGGAGTGGGGTGGGTTTCTAGGGCATGTCCTAACCTGACTCCAGTGGCTTTGCTCTGGTGCTCTGCCCTCCTGGTGGGGCAGCTCACAGAGGCCTCTCTGGGCGGGTGAAGGGCCAGAGCGTAATCCTGCGGTTCTCGGGGATGCTGGGCACTGAGGTCTTCCCAGGGTGGGGAGACCTGGCGTCGGAAGGGGGACAGGCCAGGCCTGAGCGGCTTGGTGCCACCTGGGACTTGCAGGTTTTGATGGAGAAGGAGCCCCAGGACACTCTGTGCACGCGGAGTCGCCAGCAGGCCATGCACATCGCGTCCAGCCTCTGGTAGGCCCCCCGCCTCACACAGGGCTTCCTCAGTGCCACGCAGCAGCCTCTCCACTTGGGTTTGGAGCTGGCAGGCAGCAAGGTGGAGAGGTCAGAAATGGAGCACCATTCTGTGTGCCAGGCACCATTCTGGGGTCTGAGGACCCAGCTGTGGGACAGCAGGGAACATTCCTGTTCTCCAAGAGCTGACCCTTGGGGGATGGGGACAGACCATGAACAAACCACACATCTCAGTGACAGCTGACACTGCTGCCTGAAGGCAGATGGAGCTGGGGGAGCGAGGTGGAGGGGAGGTAAGATCTTCATGGGTTGAGGGCTACAGGAGACCCTGCAAGGAGAATTGATTAACTGAATATTGGTGGACTGGGCACCCACCACTGGCCCCAAGCTCTTCTAGGCTCCAGGATACAGCCTGAGGCTGGGTTAGTCGGCCCTAAAAGGGGACTTTTGGGCAAAGACCTGAAAGGGTGAGAGAGTAGCCCTGCAGTTTCCAGCTGAAGGGACAGCGGGTGCAAAGGCCCCGAGGCTGGCGTGCAGCAGGGTTGCTGGAGGACCCGCAGAGGGCCAGGGTGGCAGGACTGGAATGCCTGAGGGCCCCGGGAGCCACGGGGAAGGTCGTCCAGGCTACTGCAGGGCACTGGCTCTTGCCTGAGCGAGGTGGGGCCTTGGGGGAGTCACACTTGAGAAGGAATGTCTGGATCCAGTGTGGGGAGTAGATGGAGCTTCCAAGAAAAAATGGGGGACCAGTCAGGACTCCCTAGAACAATCCAGGAGAAAAGTAACAAGTGTTCTGATTAAGAGTAAGAAGTCCTTAAATGTCGAATAAATTGTGATGGTAGAGCTGTCAGGAGCTGCTGGAGGGCTGGACGCAGCTTTCGAGGGAGGGAAAAGAATGGAGAAGGTGCTGAGGCTTCGCCCAAGCAACAAGGAGGACGGCACTGCAGTCCACTGTGATGGGGCGGGCTGCAGGTGCAGCTACCCTGGGGGAATGCATCAAGATGGAGATGCTCCTTAGACAGCATCAGGGTGGCATTTAAAGCCAGGGACTGAGAGGAGAGATGGACCAGGACATCACCTGGCCAGGATGCCCCAGCTCAAGGCCCTGCAGAGGCAGGTGGGCCAGGGAGGCAGATGTGTGCACAAGAGTCTCTGTGAACAGCAGAAGGCCTGAAGTCTGCAGGGATGAAGGCAGACGCCACTCAGGGACCTCCCCAGGCCCCAGCCCCATGCTAATGGCCCTCTGTCTTCCCAACAGCAAGCTGAGGCCTCCCATAGACTTGGAAAGGAAGTCTCAGCTCCTGTCCACCTGCTTCCGCAGCGTGTTTGCCCTGCCACTGCTGGATGCCCTGGAGAAGCACACCTGCCTCTTTCTGGAGCCTCCCAACATCCAGCTGTGGCCCGTGGCTCGGGAGCGGGCAGGCTGGACGCACCAGGGCTGGGGACCCAGGGCAGTTCTTCACTGCTCTGAGCACCTACAGGTTTGCTGTGTGCTATATGCTGCAGTGTGTTTGCCCACCTGTAAAATGGGGGTGATACTAACAGGGCCAATGGTACTTAACACTTGGCGACTGAACTGAGACACTGGGTGAGCAGTGGCGTGGAGGAGCACCCTGTAAACAGTGGCGCGTGTGGCCTCCCTCCCTCCCTGCCAGTCCTGAGAGCCAGCGGGAAGAGGCTGGCAAGCCGGTGCTGCCCAGCCCTGCAGGCCTTGGCCGCCATGCTATGTGGCAGGGTCAGGTCTGAGTTTTCGCTGAGCTCCCCAGCAGCCCAAGGGAAGCGGAGAGGAGGGGAGATGAGTTCCCCAACCTTGTAGGGATCCCTGCAACACCTGGAGTGAGTCACCTTCCCTGCAGGGTGGGCTCAGTCTCACCACACAGCTACTCAGAGGTGGTGCCGTGCCCAGGCCGTGCCCAGCCCACCCTGCCACCCCAGGAGGCTGGGGGAAGGAACTCCAGGATTGCTCTCAGCACTTGGCCAGTGCCCACCCCTTCCTGGGTTCTGTTCAGTAAAAGCCACCCCTGCAGAGAGATGCCTGCCATTGCTCATGGCCACCACTGGGTACATGAGTGGCTCCTGGGCACAGTCACCGTGCCTGGCTTCGGGTGTGTCTGCGGTCCTCGGCCTGTGGCCAGAGCCAGTGTTAACTGAGCCCCTGCTAGGTGCCAGGCCCTAGATCAGTTATCTCACCTTCCCAGCAGCGGCCCCAGGGTAAAGAAATGCTCAGAGAAATGAGGCTGTCTGGTGGGAGAGGCAGGGTTTGAACCCCGACCCTACCCCCCAAGGGTGAGTCCAGGCTGGAACTAGACAGACAGACACTTAGGGTGAGGTGGTGAGAGAACGAAGGTGTCCCGGGACCAGGGCAACACAGCCCTCCAGAAGGGTGGCCCCTGGCCACACCCCAATCCCACCACAGTTCAGAATGACCCCGTTACCTGATGACACGGTGACACTGAGGCTGGCTCACCCAGGGAGTGCCACCTGGTGTCTGGGGGTCCGGCGCTGGGAGCTGGGAGCACTGAGCTGGGGTTCCTGTTGACTCCAATCCCCTGCCTGCCTCCATTCTGGCAGGTGGGGCTGACTTCATGCCATTCTCAGGTGAGGAAAGTAAGCTCAGAGAGTCAAAGTAAGTCTCCCCAGGGCACCTACTGAGTGACCAGAGCCCCAGGGCTCTGCTCCTGGTGGGCCCTTGAAGGGAGGGTAGCTGGGGGCATTTCTCTGGTCCTCTCCTTCCCTGAACGTGCCCAGTAAGCAAAGCAGTGAAGATTAGGAGCATGGCATGTAAGACCCAGAACTCAGCCCACTGCATCATTGGCAGGGCCTGGGCAAAATGAAGATGCCAGCCCCTGCTTCAAACCTAAGAACCTCCAGAGCATTCACCCAGCGCAGGGCCCTTTTCAGCCCGGGACCCTGGGACCACTCAGGGCACCCTCCTGTGAAGCTAGCCCTGCTAGGAATGAACTCGTCCGGGCCACTGAGATACCTGTGCCCTTGGGTGATCACCAGAGGCCTCCCCACCCAGTCCCCACATCTGCCAAATGGGGGCCATGGCGGCCCCCTCGCAGGCATGGTGGCAAGCCCCAGTGGTGAGCAGCCCGGCACATGCAGGAAGTAGGCGCTCCTCAAGCCCTGCGTCCACTGGGCGTGGCACTGCCTGACCACCCTTGTCTCTACACAGAGCCTGTACAGCAGGACCATGGAGGCGCTGGACTTCATGCTGCAAAGCCTCATCATGCAGAACCCCACCGCCGACGAGCTGCATTTCCTGCTGTCGGTGAGGCTGCAGGGAGGCCAGTCGGCTGGGGCCGAGGGGTCCTCAGCCTATGGCCAGACTCCAAAGGAGGGCATCTCAGAGGAGACAAGGCGGGACCTGGGGGCTTCGAGTGGTCCAGGAACCAGGAGGGGTGAGGGCCACCCGCACTTAGGGATCACAGTGGTTTGGGGCACTGGGGAGGGAGAGACAGCAGGTGGCCTGGTAGAAAGAGGGCTGATAGGCCAGGCACAGTGGCCCACGCCTGTAATCTCAACACTTTGGGAGGCCAAGGCGGGTGGACCACTTGAGGTCAGGAGTTCGAGACCAGCCTGGCTAACATGGTAAAACCCCATCTCTACTAAAAATAAAAAAAAAAAAAAAAAAATTAGTCAGGCATGGTGGTGGGCACCTATAATCCCAGCTACTCAGGAGGCTGAGGCAAGAGAATCGCTTGAACCCGGGGGATGGAGGTTGCAGTGAGCTGAGATCTCACCACTTCACTGCAGCCCGGGCAAAAGAGAGAAACTCTGTCTCAAAAAAAAAAGAAAGAAAGAGGGCTGATGAGGGTCCCGCCCTCCCCTCCTAGAGAACTTCCCCTGCAGTGTCCCCTGAAGGGTCTCCCAAACCCGCTGCCCCCACTCCCCCCCGCCCTTCCTCACCTTGTCAGGAGAGAGACCAGAGCAGGCAATGACAGTCCCGGGGCAGGCGGAAGCCCAGGGAGGGGAGGCTGGCTCTGGCTCAGAGGTCAAGCCCAGCGGGACTTCTCGCAGCCCCGGCTGAGGACTAAGGCAGCCACAGGCAGAGAAGGGAAGGGAGGGGCCCAGCAGGCAGACGGCACGCAGGGCAAAGGTGAGCAGTGCAGAGGAGCCCAGCGCGTCTTGGGGAAGTCACAGATGTGTTTCTGGGACACCACTGGGTCACAGAATCTCCAAATACCATGTACCCTCATCCTACTTCAGAGCCACTAATTATATATCTAATCATATATCAGATTTGGCTTAAAAACTATTTGACGTACCAGTCTCCAGATGGCTTTGTAAGTGCAGCAGGCAGAGCCTGGCCGAGGATGGATGGGGCCTTGGGGCGGGGGGGGGCGGGGGGGGGGGGTCAAAGCCGGTGGGCGGGGCCTGGGCCGAGTGGGCGGGGCCTGGGCCGAGGGCCCCTTAGAATCCTCTCCCTGACCCTGCCCGCCCCACAGCACCTGTACATCTGGCTGGCGTCGGAGAAGGCGCATGAGCGGCAGCGGGCTGTGCACAGCTGCATGATCCTCCTCAAATTCCTGAACCACAATGGCTACTTGGACGTGAGTACGCGGTTCGCCGGTCCCACGTCCCGCACCCGCTCTGCCGGCTGGGCCTCCTGCCCTGGATCGCAAGGGCCCAGCCAGAGCCGCCCTCCTCCCAGATCCTCCCAGGGTTCATAGGGTTCAAGGCCCCCTGGACACCCGCCTCCAGGACAGAGTGGATCCCTGAATACCCGACAGCACAGCCGGGCTCCATATTGACTGGCGGCCCAGGCAATCTCCTTGCAACTGAGGGAACAGGCAGGGAGGGGCAGGACCTGCCCGAGGCCTCACAGCTGGGATCTGAAGGCAGGTCACCCTGAACCCTGACCCCTGACCCTGGAGCTAAGCACCTGTCTATGCACCTGAGGCCTTGTACAGGTGTTTCTCCTCAACGAGCCCCAGCTTTTCACCTGTAAAGTGAATGGAAATGACCCCTCCCTAGAGCGATATGGTGGAGCTCAGATGGGGCGGAGGCCGTGAGAAGGCTGGTAAACTGTACGGCCCTGCGCCTGATTAGGGGTTCCTTGCTGCATGGAGTGGCCACCCCACCACCCTTCCGCCAGTGCAGCCCCTATCATGACATGGCTCACAGCCCTCATCTGTCGCTACTGCCCTTGAGTTGCATCAGCACATTGTCAGAGAGTGCGCTTCCGCGAGTATGAGCCCAAACCCGCATTAACTCCCTAGGCATACTCAGGGGGATGGGGAAATAAGTTCCTTGCCCTAATGCCTGGTGGCTGCCTGATCTAATGAGGGCAGGAGGCAGAAGTGCTGGAAGGAGGGGGGACTGTTCTGCCAAGGGAAAGACCCTGCACCCCTAGGAGGAGGAGGACAATTAAAGTGGCTTCAATTTACTCAAAATCCATTTCAACATCAGAGGACCGGACCAGGGTAAGGCAAGCAAGATACTCACCTTGCGCACAAAATTTACCGCAAAACAAAAAACTCTGTAATCAAGATGATTCATGTTTTCATGTAATGTTTTTAAAACTCAATTTGGCAAGCTATGGCCCATGGGCTGACCACCTGCTTTTGTAAATAAAGTTTTATTAAACCAGGACCAGGATGAGGGTAGGACAGGTGAGGTGACATGCAAAACCAGGGTCAGATCCTGACTTTACTTACAGTTTTGAGATTTTGCTCACCACAGAGTTTTTTGCACTTATTCTGATTTTTCTAAATAGTGCATTAAAATATTACTTTTCTTTTTTTTTTTTTTCTTTTTTTTGAGACGGAGTCTCGCTCTGTCGCCCAGGCTGGAGTGCAGTGGCGTGATTTCGGCTCACTGCAACCTCTGCCTCCCGGGTTCATGCCATTCTCCTGCCTCAGCCTCCCGAGTAGCTGGGACTACAGGCACCCGCTACCACACCCAGCTAATTTTTGGTATTTTTAGTAGAGCCAGGGTTTCACCGTGTTAGCCAGGATGGTCTCGATCTCCTGACCTCGTGATCTGCCCGCCTTGGCCTCCCAAAGTGCTGGGATTACAGGCGTGAGCCACCGCGCCCGGCCACCTAAAATATTACTTTTCTTGATTACTGAATGTTTTGCCCAGCCCCCAGTCCCAGCCCTGCCACACCTTTGGAGGGTCACCTCTGATGTAGGCCGTGCTGGGTGAGTGTGTGGCAGGGCTCTGCAGGGAGGTTCTGCCATCAGTGATTCCCGTAATCTTAACACAGCCAAAAGAGGACTTCAAAAGGATTGGGCAATTGGTGGGCATACTGGGGATGCTGTGCCAGGACCCAGACAGGGCCACCCAGCGCTGCAGCCTGGAAGGGGCAAGCCATCTCTACCAGCTCTTGATGTGCCACAAAAGTGAGTTCTGTGAGTTCTGAGCACCAACTTCCACCCCAGCTACAACCTCTGGCAGACCCACACCCGCACCCCTGACCTCAACCTTGCCCCAAATTTACCCCCAGACCCAACCTGGATCTGAGCCATAACCCTGTAATGGCCTCACCCTGACCCCCACCACTCTGATCCCAGTCCCCAAATTGGGCACAGGCCTGACCCTGATTACAAATGACCCTACCCTAACCCTGCCCTGTCCCAAACTAGACCCCAAGACCACCTTCGCCCTGCCCTCACCCACCCTGCCCCTGGCCAGCAGGAGAAGCTTTGCAGGCAGAATCACAGGCCCCCAAGGAGCTCTCCCAGGCCCATTCGGACGGAGCCCCACTCTGGAACAGCAGAGACCAGAAGGCCACTCCCCTGGGCCCCCAGGAGATGGCAAAGAACCACATCTTCCAGCTCTGCAGCTTCCAAGTCATCAAGGTCAAAGTCCTTAGAGTGGAGGGCAGGGCAGGGGCGTGACCAGAGCACACGACATATCTGGGGAGTGGGGAGTGGTGGGTAAATGCGCTCGCTCACTCTCTCTCATGTTGTTGAAGTGGAGCCAGGAAGGTTTGGGGAGCCAGCACACATTAGATGCCTACTTATTACCTATGCCAGGGGCTTCACAGACATTACCACATCCCTTCCTCAAGTTTTATAAACTGAATTGAACCAAATGATGAAGAAATGATGGCACAGGGCTGGTCAGTGCCCCACTGGAATTTGATCCGGCCCCAGCTACTCCAGAACCCGTGCTCTCAGCAACTGTTGCAAGCCATTGGTGTGCTGAGGCCAGTTAGAAGTTTAGTGTGGAAAACCTAAAGCCCTAGGGCCAACTCACTGTTTGTGTCCAGAAGGAAGAATACCTTACTTGGCTGCAGTTTACCCTGCAGAACCTGCCCTGAAGGCAGAGGCAGGGCCGGGAAGGAAGAGTTTCACTGAAGGGACAGCTGCTTCACCCCATGTGGTCCCTGCACACAGACCATGGGTGTCCAGCTCTGGCTCTCCCCAGACAGATGGGAGCAGTAGGATGGTGCGGATGGGAGGGTCTGCTAATCACAGAACCATCATAGAACCACAGGGCTGAGAAGGTTCCAGCTGGAAAACAGATACTTTGGGCCTAGGTTCTGGTCCCAAGTTTGCCCCTAACTCCTCATGTAGTCTTGGATACATGACATCTTTATCACCACCCCCACTGTCATCATCACCACCAGCATTATCACCACGATCATGATCACTGTCACTGTCACCACTACCACCATTATCACCACCATCACCATCACAGCCACCACCACCAGCATCACTATCACCATCATCACTACCACCACCATCACTACAAGCATCATCACCACCACTACCACCGCCACCACCACCAGCATCATCATCACCACCATCACCACCATCTCCATCACCACCAACATCATCACCACCATCATGATCACTGTCACCACCAACATTATCACCACCATCATCACCACCATCGCTATCATCACCACCACCACCATTAGTACCATCACCGCCCCCACAGTCATCACCACCAGCAACATCACCACCATCATGGTCACTGTCACCACCACCAACATTATCACCACCACCACCACCATTGCTATCACCATAAGCATCATCAACATCACTATCATCACCACCACCACCATTAGTACCATCACCACCCCCACAGTCATCACCACCAACATCATCACCACCATCATGATCACTGTAATCATCAACACCACCATCATGGTCACTGTCACCACCACCAACATTATCACCACCATCACCACCACCATCACTATCACCATAAGCATCATCACCATCACCATCATGATCACTATCACTGTCACCACCACCATCACCATAACCACCATTGCCACGACCACCACATCACCATGACTACAACCACCATCACCATCTGCATTACTATGACCCTGCACCACCATCATTATCACCACCACCACCACTTCTACCATCACTGCCACCTTTATCTCACATTTATTCCTGCCCTTGATTGAAGGGAGATGGCTCCAAAGTCTTTACCAATCCTGAGATTGTAGTATTCTGAGAATCTAACCACCATTCCAAGTTGAATTTCTTCACAAACATTCTAAATGCTAGCTTTAAGCAAAAGTTTAACATTCTAGCCAATGATTTTATTCCTCTAACAAATATTCTAGCCAGATGTGTAACATAATATTCTTTTAAAAAGTTCTTACCACAAATCTTCCACTAAAATTATTTTAACATTCTAACCATTGTGCTAATACTCTAACATTCTCACAAACACTGTATCAAAATTTTAGAATTAAAAGATTCTAATAAATATTCTAACATCCATTATTTAACACTTAATTTGATATTCTAATATACTTAGAAATGTCCTAACAGATTGCAGGCACTCCAACAAATATCCTAACATGCAAAGAAGCATTTTGCCATCCTGACATCCTTGCAAATGCCCTAATTTTCTGTCAGGCTGCTCTCCTATCCCTCCTTTAGCTTCTAACTTCCTTCGGTTCAATGCTGTGTGTCCCCACTGTGCAGAGAACCCTCTGGGAGGATGGGCGTGTTCTATCTCTGTGCTACCCAAGGTAGCCACTGGCCACAGGGAGCCATGGAGCACTTGAAATGTGGCTAGTGCTACTGCAGAACTGAATTTTTAATTGTACTTAAATTGAAATATAAATAGCTGTGTATAGCTAGTGGTACAATGCCTAAAGTCTTTCCAGAAAGTTCTACCTTTGCAGCAGTGACTGAGGCCCAGTCCCCCCTCCAGGAGGCTATAGTCTGAGGCTATGAGGCGGGGGTAACACCCATCATCTTGCATTTCTCTAGAACCCCTTCCTTACCCCTGAGCTCACGGCTGCTTGCAGAGGCGAGACCCACCTTCCTGGACCTTTAAAGCCACTCCTAGGAGGAGATGGACAGAGGGTGTCAGGGTCCTGGGACAGTGCTGCCTGTCCTGGGACAGGAGCTGGGTCCTGGCTGCACCCACCCTGACCTGCTCCAAGGCTGATGGCAGCCTACACACCCTTCTGGGACTGGGGGTTGGCCCAGGTGACCTCGAAGCTCCTTCACAGCCAGGAAGTTCACTTTCTCTTTGATAAATGCTCATAAGGAGGACTGGAGCCTGGCAGGGAGACACCCCACAGGGCTGAGGCTGGCAGATGAGGAAGCCCTATGGGCAGAGGACAGCAGAGGAGGGGAGAGGGGAGGCTGGCCTGGCCACCCAGTCCTAAGACAAGCACGGAGTGTCAGCGTGGGAAAGAGCTGGGGCCGTGGTTGGCTCTGACAGATGTGGACGTGCGCAAGTCTAGACTGCAAATCACTGACGGGTGCTTGGAACCCAGAGGAGTGGGGCTTAGGAGGCCAGATATGCTCAGAGACTTGCAAGATCCTGGGACAAAGGAGAAGGGGTAAAAGCAGAAGTGGGGAGGCGGACGCCCAGGCCCAGGGGGCCCAAGGTGATGGCCTCTCTCCACCCCCGCTGTACAGGATATCATGCAGCAGCTCACACTGGCAGAGTTGAGCGACCTCATCTGGACGGCCATCGACGGCCTGGGCTCCACCAGCCCCTTCCGCGTGCAGGCAGCCTCCGAGATGCTGCTCACAGCCGTCCAGGAGCACGGGGCCAAGCTGGAGATCGTGAGGGCGCTGGGGCTGGGCCAGGAAGGGCCAGGAAGGGCCAGGGGGCGGAGGGCGGGCCCAGCAGTCAGCATCCAGGGCTCAGGTCCTTGAGCCTGATGGGGGAGACACAGATCCCACCCTAGGAAGCAACTAGTCTGATGGTTTTGAATGAGCGAATGAATGAATGAATGAATGGCCCAAGCAAGTCCCCTGGGTCCTGGGTGGTGACTGCGGGGTCTGAGCAGCCTCTGTGTGCGGAATGGTGGGAAAGGAAGGGGACAGCACAGACCAGCCCCTCGAGGAGCTTGAGGTCTCGGGGAAAACGGACACACAGGCAGATGTTGCCTGGACAGCGTATGGGGATATGATGTGGGGGAGGAGGACCCTGCAGGGAGGTGAGGGGTGCACCCCAGAGAGAGGATGCCCAGTGCCAAGTCCTGCAAGTGGGTGAGCTCAGACAGGGAGACTGGCACTGGGCATTAGGGATGAGCAGGAGAGACCCCAAGGAGAAGGCAGGGTGCCCCAGGCACAGGGCACCCCATGTGCAAAGTGGCATGTTTAAGAATGAGATGGGAGGCAGGGGGCCTGGACCTTCCAGTGTCTACCTGGGCAGTGTGGACAGCATACAAAGACCTCAAATGCCATGCAGAACATGGCAGGACCTGTCCCCCCAAGACTGGGACTTCTCTTCAGACCAAGCATCCGGGGCAGGGCTGTGGCCCGCCACCCAGATGGCTCAGGACAGGGCCATATCTGAAGGGGCTCTGTGCTCATCAGGGTGAGACCTCCCTCTGCCTTCAGGCTCCCAGGGCAGGGCTGGGCCTCCCTGCCAGACCTCTCCCTCTCTGCACAGGTTTCCAGCATGGCCCAGGCCATCCGCCTCCGCCTGTGCTCTGTCCACATCCCGCAAGCCAAGGAAAAGACCCTGCACGCCATCACCCTGCTGGCCCGGAGCCACACCTGTGAGCTGGTGGCCACCTTCCTGAACATCTCCATCCCCTTGGACAGGTGCCTGCCCCTCTTGCCTCACTGCCCACTCCCCATCCTCTCCCCAGGCAGGGGTGGTGACCTCTGCCCTCCTGTCTGCCCCCGCCATGGCCCACAGGGACTTCTATAGGGCTGGGTGCTTGGAGGGAGCCCACATCTGTTCATCATTGCATACCTCCTGGGCGGGCACATGGGAGGCACTGCTCACTGTCTCCTGTCCTGGCTCCACATGAAACACCTGCCCCAGCCAGGCCACACTGTCACCTGATGGAGAGGCCACAGGACCCTGGGTGCTCCTGGCAAGACCCCAGCCCACACTGAAGCCTCGCCGCCCAGCAGCAAACCCCTCTGTCTCTTCTCATCTACAAACACTCTATTCTCCTTCCTGCCCCTCTACAGACCACCCCACTATATCCGCCAGAGGCCATCAAAGCCCTCTCAGGTGGGGCTGGCTTTTCTCTCACAGCCCTCAGACCCCTGGGCCTAGAGATGGGCTAGGGTCCTTGTCACTGCTCATGGCCCTTCCTTCCCAAAGTCCCAGCTCTGCCTCCCAAGTCCTCAGTCCATACCCCCTGCCACCTACCTACCATGCACCTGTCCTGGATGGCCCCTCGCTCCAGTCAGGGACACCCCCTAGCTCACTCCCCATGCCTGACTCCTGGGGGATTTCCCTGTCTTCCCCTCACCCTGACTTCTCCAGGCCTGGATCTCCTCCCTCCCAAGGACCTTGTCTTCCATCCCCCACAGCCACCCACTCCCCCGGCCATCCCTTGGTGTGACCATCACCAGCTTCAGGCACTCCCACCTTTACAGCTCGCCTCCAGACCCAGCGAGCCTTGTCCCCAGGACCTGCCGTGCACTGCCCTGCACCCCTCTTACTCCCCCTCACCTGTCCTCACTGTCACCCTCCTTCCAGCCTGGGGCACACCTGGCAGTGAGACAGTGACTCCCGCACACACACAGGTCCCTGGCCCCAGCTGCTGGCCTTGCTCCCATTTCACTGAACACTCAGAAGCCACCAGAACAGGGGTGTCATAAGCTCCCAGAGCCCAAGAGTTGTTTCCAGGAAGATGTCTAATTTCCATGTGGAAGCGCATTTGTGGTTCTGTGAATAATTTCTAGTTTTACTGCACTGTGGTCAGAGAGTGTTGTCTGTAAAGTTTTTACTTTATGAAATTTACTAATCTTTTAAATGCTTTTTGTGAATGTCCCATTGGCACTCAAGAAGGAGGTGTATTTTCTGTTGTCAGGGTGTAGAGTTTGAGATACCGGCATATCTCAGGATATTACGGGTTCGGTTCCAGGCCACCACAATAGAGCAGTCACGTGTGCCTCCGTGTTTCCCAGTGCACATAAGAGTTCTGTTTATACTATACTGTGGTCTAGTCAGTAGACAATAGCATTGTGTCTTTTCAAAGAACAATGTACTTACCTTAATTTAAAAATGCTTTAGTTCTAAAAATTGCTAATGATCATCTGAGCCTTCAGCAAGTCGGGATCCTCTTGCTGGTGGGTGGTGAGGACTGCTGACTGGTCAGGGTGGTGGCTGTTGAAGGTTCAGGTGTCTGGCAAGTTCTTAAAAATAAGACAACAATGACGTTTTAGCATCAATGGACTCTTCCTTTCCTGAAAGATTTCTCTGTACCATGTGATGCTGTTTGATAGCATTTTGCCCACAGTGAAACTTCTTTCAAATTTGGAGTCAATTCTCTCAAACCCTGCCACTGCTTTATCAGTAAGTTTATGGAATATTCTAAATCCTTTGATGTCATTTCAACAGCATCTTCACCAGGAGTAGTTTCCATCTCAGAAACCACTTTCTTAGCTCATCCATAAGAAGCAGCTCTTCATCTCTTCAAGTCTGATCATGAGATTGCAGCAATTCAGTCTTCCGGCTCCACTTCTAATTCTAGTTCTCCTGCTATTTCTACTACATCTGCAGTTACTTCCTCCACCAAAGTCTTGAGCCCCTCAAAGTCATCTGTGAGGGCTGGAATCAACTTCTTCCAAACTGCTGTTCATGTTGCTCTTTTGCCCTCCTCTCCATGAATCACAAATGTTGTTAATGGCATCTAGCATGGTGAATCCTTTCCAGAAGGTTTTCAATGTACTTTGCCCAGATGCATCAGAGAAACAACTATCTATGGCAGCTACCCTCTTGCAAAGTGTATTTCTTCAATAATAAGACTTGAAAGTCAAAATGACTCCTTGATCCACAGGCTGCAGAATGGTTGTCGTGTTCACAGGCAGGAAAACGACATCGATCGCCTTGTACATCTCCAGCAGAGCTCTTGGGTGACAGGTGCATTGTCAATATGCACTCATATTTTGAAAGGAATCTTTTAGTTCTGAGCAGTAGGTCTCATCAGCGGGCTTAAAATATTCAGTAAACCATGAAGTAAAGAGATGCACTGTCAACCAGGCTTTGTTGTTCCATGTCTAGAGCACAGGCAGAGTGGATTTAGCATCGTTCTGAAGGGCCCTAGGATTTTCAGAATGGGAAATGAGCATTGGCTTCAACTTAAAATCACCAGCTCCATTAGCCCCTAACACAAGAGTCAACCTGTCCTCTGAAGCTTTGAAGCCAGGCTTTGACTTTACCTCTCTAGCTATGGAAGTCCTAGATGGCATCTTCCAATAGAAGGTGGTTTCTTCATTGAAAATGTGTTGTTTAGTGTAGCCACCTTCATCAGTGATCTTAGCTAGATCTTCTCGATAACTTGCTGCAGCTTCTCCACCAGCACTTGCTGCTCCATCTTGCACTTTTATGCCGTGGAGATGGCTTTTTTCCTTCCACCTCACGAACCAACCTCTGCTAGCTTCAGACTTTTCTTTTACAGCTTCCTCACCTCTCTCAGCCTTCACAGGGTGGAAGAGTTAGGGCCTTGCTCTAGATTAGGCTTTGGCTTAAGAGAATGTTGTGGTTGGTTTGATCTCTTCAAACCACTAAGCAATAAGGGCTGTTTCACTTTCTTCATATGTGTGTGTCCACTGGAGTAGCACTTTTCATTTCCTTCAATAATTGTTCCTGTGCATTCACAGCTTGGCTCACTGTTTGGCAAAAGAGTCTTTGCTTTGGGCCTATCTTGGCTTTCAACATGCTTTCTTCACTGAACTTAATCATTTCTAGTTTTTGATTTAAAGTGAGAGAAATGGGACTCTTCCTTTCACTTGAACACTTACAGCCCATGTTAAGTTATTAATTGGCCTAATTTCAATGTTGTTGTGTCTTGGGGAATAGAGAGGCCCAAGGAAAGGAAGAGAGATGGGGGAACGGCCAGTGGGTGGAGCAGTCAGAACCCACAACATCTATGGATTCAGTCTGGCATCTTATATGAGTGTGGCTCATGGTGCCTTAAAACAATTACAGTAGTAACAGCAAAGATCACTGATCACAGATCACCATAACAGATTAATAATAATGAGGATGCTTAAAATACTGTGAGAATTACCAAAATATCACACAGAGGCATGAAGTGAGCACACGCTGCTGGAAAAATGGCACCAACAGACTTGCTCGACGCTGGGTTGTCACAAACCCTCAACTCGTAAAAAATGCAATATCCGCAAAGTACAATAAAGTGACGCACAGTAAAACGAGGTGTGCCTCTATATGTATAAGGTTTACCTTGATTGTGTTGTCGAGGTTTTCTACGTACTTAATTTCTGTCCTCTTGATCTGTCTTGGACTGAGTGTGTGTTAAAGTCTCACTAAAGAAACATTGGTGTGTCTCTATCTATACTTTCAATCCCTGGACTTTTACTTTGTGAAGGTGATTGCCATGTTATTTGGCACATACATAGTCATAAGTATTCTATATATTTATGAACCATGACTTTTACTATTGAGATGCCCTGCTTTGTCACACTTAATGTTTTGGGGACTTGAATTCTACTGTCTGTTCAGAATCATTAACCTGCTTTTTTATTTTTCCATTTGCCCAGTATGCATTTCTCTACTTCTTTATCTTAGCCTTTGGGAATCCCTTTGTTTTAGGTCTCCATCTTATATACAGCACAAAGTTTGTCCTGATTTGTAATCCAAATTGAAAATCTTTTGTAATAGGTGAGTGAAGCTTGTCAATATTGATGCGATTGATATGTTTGTCTGTCATGACATTTTGTAGTTGTGTGTATTTCATGACATTTGCTGTTTCTTTTTCTACAAGAGGTGCATTCTTTGCTCTTCAGCTTCAATTTTGTTTTAATCTAGGAAATGTATTTTCATCCTAGTTGTTACCTTTGTGCTCCTAACTTATTTTAATGCCCTTAGTCGCTTAGTCCCCATTTTATTATTCAGCCCTTTAACATCAGGTTTATCTTTGTGTGTGTGTGTGTGTGTGTGTGTGTGTGTGTGTGTGTGTGTGGCAGAGTCTTGCCCTGTCACCCAGGCTGGAGTGCAGTGGTGCAATCTCAGCTCAGTGCAACCTCCGCCTCCTGGGTTGAAGCAATTCCCCTGCCTCAGCCTCCCAAGTAGCTGGGATTACAGGTGTGCACCACCACGCCTGGCTGATTTTTGTATTTTTAGTAAAGACAGGCTTTTGCTATGTTGGCCAGGCTGGTGGTCTTGAACTCCTGACCTCAGGTGATCCACCCCCTCCTCGGCCTCCCAAAGTGCTGGGATTATAGGCGTGAGCCACCGTGCCCGGCCAGGTTTATCCTTTTTATTTGATACTGATGCAGGGCAGGTGAGCCACAAAGGTGGGGCTTACCCCAGGAAGGTTCTTAGCTTTGCCCAGGAAAAAATTCAAGAGCAAGCCCATGGTGTTAGACAGCAACTTTGATTGAAGCGGCCCTGCACAGCAGCAGCAGAGGCCTGCTCCTTGCAGAGCAGGGCTGCCCAGAGGAGCAGCTCAGAGGCACTTCTGCAGTTAATTATGTGCAAATTACGGGGTAGGTTATGCAGAAATTCTTAGAAAAAGGGTGGTAACTTCAGGGTCGTCAGGTCATTGCCATGGAAAGAGGTGGTAACGTCCTGGTGTAGCCATGGCAATGGTAAACTGACATGGCGCGCCAGTGGGCGTGCCTTATGGAAAGGTGCTTCTGCCCTATCCCTGTGATAGCTAGTCGTCAATTTGGTCCTGTATCCGTGTCCCACCTCCTACCCCAATACTCTTTAATTCCCACCTGTTTTCTGCACAACAATTAGTGAAATTGTTCTATTTTCCTCTTTCTGTCTCCTTCTCCCATTTTTCAGTTACATATTTGTACTTTGTCAAAACATTGAACATTCACACTCTACTGCTCTACCCTCATCTCCATACTTTGTGTTTACAGGCACACCATCAGTTCCTAGGCTGAAGTTTTCCAGTCATCTTAGTCTGAAGAAGCTCATCCTCCAAAAGATTCAGAATTCTTTAGGTTCTTTTATGTTGAAAGTTCTTTATTTGAAGAATGGTTTGGCTGGATATAAAATTCTTTGTTCACATTTTCTTTTATTATTTTTTAAATGCTGTTGCATCGTTGCCTTGCGTTGTTTTTTAAAAGTTAATGACAATAGGGGTTTTTTTGGCGTTTGTAAGTTATTTGCTCTTTTTGCCCAGAGACTTTAAGATTTTTTTGTAATCTTTGAAATCTAATCATTTAGTTAGGAAATGTCTCAGAGCTGATCATTCGGGGTTAATGTTCCCAGGCACCTGGTACCTCCTTTGATTATGTAGATTGAGATCTTTTTTTTTTTTCAAGAGAATTAAATCATTTATTGATTACACATGATAATGGATGATACACAAGCTTCATTCCCATCTATAGTTTTATCTGGTACCATTATTCAATTTACATATATTTCATAGGATGTGCCAACAATCATTTTTATAACCAATTAATTCCATGACTTTTCTTGGGCCATCCCTTTTAACGGTGAACTTCAGGTGACAACAGTAACTGTCAGTTCAACTACACCAAGGTTTCTGAAGACAATGGCATCTCCACCCAAGCAGGTTGTACATAAATTCCACATAGAACCTGGCATCACCCTGAAGGAATTCTAACTTCACACTGTTGGGGAAATTTACCAAGATGGCTTCAGAGTAGACTAACTTTACACAACACATTAAAAAAAAAAAAAGACATTTATTCAGCATCACGATCAGACTATTACATTTAGCAATCAACAGCATGGGAGCAAAAAAAAAAAAAAATCTGCATTAAAACCCTTTGTTGGAAAGCTTTACACTTTCCACAGAACAGAAACTAAAATAACCTGTTATACAATTAGTCACAAATACAGTCCTCGAGTTTTTTTGCCCATACACATGAGTATC
The DNA here is from genome assembly GCF_000001405.40 of Homo sapiens. Lineage (NCBI taxonomy): Eukaryota > Metazoa > Chordata > Mammalia > Primates > Hominidae > Homo > Homo sapiens. The sequence continues at coordinate 126,720 of NW_025791786.1, read as the reverse complement.
TGCCTAAAACATGTCTTCTTTGTAGCAGCTAGGCCCTGCCACCACAGTGCTTGACCAAGTTCACAAATCTGTTGTAACCCGTAGCTTCCCTGTCACGTCTATGGCTCTCCTCTCCTGCTAAGCTTTGTTTCCTAATTAAAATCTTCTGCCACTGCCATAGCTACCGCTGCTACTGGAACCACCATAGCCACCTTGGTTTCGTGGTTTTGCGAAGTATTGGCCTCCACCACCATAGGAGCCAGAGCTTCTGCCTCCAAAGTTTCCTCCCTTCATGGGGCCAAAATTTGAAGACTCGTTGTTCTAATTGCCAAAATCATTGTAGCCTCCAAAATGGCTTCCATCATTACCAAATCCATTATAGCCATCCCCACTGCCACCATATCCACCACCACCATGGCTGCCACCAAAGCCACCATAGCCACTGAAGTTTTCTCCATGACCAAAGTTGTCATTCCAACCAAAATCACCTCCACCACCACCACCAAAGTTTCCAGAACCACTTCGACCTCTTTGGCTGGATGAAGCACTCGCCATCTCTTGCTTTGACAGGACTTTCCTAACTTCACAGCTGTGGCCATTCACAGTAGGGTATTTCTGAATGACAAGCTTATCCACAGAGTCATGGTCGTCCAAGGTTACAAAGGCAAAGCCCCTTTTCTTGCCACTGCCTCGGCCCGTCGTGATTTCAGTCACTTCAATTTTCCCAAATTGTTCAAAATAATCCCTTAGGTGATGTTCTTCTGTGTCTTCTTTAATGCCACCAACAAATATCTTTTTCACAGCTAAGTGGGCAACTGATCTTTGAGAATCCTCTCTTGAGACAGCTCTCTTTGGTTCCACAGCTCTTCCATCCACCTTGTGCGGCCTTGCATTCGTGGCTGCATCCACCTCCTCCGCAGCAGCATAGTGACAAACCCAAAACTCCCGCCGGAACGCTTGGTGTTGGAATCTCTCATTACCACACAGTCCGTGAGCATTCCCCATTGCTCAGAATGGCTCCTCAAGGCTCTCATCTGTTGTTTCAAAGCTCAACCCTCCAATGAAGAGCCTCCTCAGCTGTTCGGGCTCTTTAGGAGACTCTGACTTAGACATGACAGCAGGAAGAAGAGAGACTTTAACGATGCTTCTTCAGGGGCGTCCACGGGCAGAAGAAAAAAAAGAATTGAAATTTTTTTGAGGTTGCTATTCTTGGAAAATTTTCTTGGTTACAGTTTTAAATATTAGTCATGTTCCATTGCTGTTTTTCTTCCTCAGGGACTCCAGTAATACAAATGCTATTCCTCCTGTCTTCCATTTTCACTACTTTCCCTCTGACCCCTTTTACTCTTTCTTAAATTCACTTTCATTCTCTTGGTTGCTTTTCTTGTTTTCCTAAATGCACCTTATTAAATTATCATTTGAGTCTTATCTCTCTTGGACACCTTGTACTCTTCCTTCATTTCTGAGATAATTTTTTCATCTCATCCATTTCTTTCCTGAAGTCAATCAACTCTCTTTTCAGATCCTGTTGGATTTTTTTGTCCTTTTTTGAACTCATAATTCAAGGTAGTTTTCACATTTTTAAATGCTTATTTGAGCATATGTAATGACACGTAGAATGAATGTTGTCTTAGGGTTTTTTTCCTGCATCGTGATTTTTTCCAGGGGGAGTTCCTTATTTTGTGTGTGCTGATTTTTGTTTTCTCATTTTTTACAATAATTCTATGGATCTGTTCATTTTGTTCCTGTTCATGTTTGTGTTCTTTGCGTGTTTTATATGATTTTAAGTTCAATGGCACCCTCTTCTGTCAATACAGCAAAGTCCAGATAATTTAATAGACTGTTTGGGTGGTAAGCAAAAGGATTATGGATCCTCCAATGTTTTGGTTCCATTTCTATTGCAGGGCCATACATTTTTCCCTTTTACCTCTTTCCCTATCACCACCTAATCTCCAAAGGATACCTCTGCTTTCTTTTTTGCCCTTTCCTTTCCCAAAATCTGTGCATTTTGAAGACCGCCCTCCAAAGCAGGCAGACTTTTAAGTCACTGCTATGTGATTGGGGCTCTGACACTTGAACTTTTTTTTTTTTTTTAAGACTTAGGGTGGACTTAGTCTTCTAGAAGGTGCTTTAGGCTTTATATCAATCTCAAGCCCTGTTGCTAACTCCTCCCTTCCCTCTTTCCCCTCAGTTTCTCTCAGCCTGCCTTTATCAAAGCCTTATGGTAGAACGGGATAGGGTGGGAGCAGTAGAGATTTCATGCTAAGGTTGATACTCTTCTCTTTGTGCTTAATTTTGAAGTTTGGGAACTCTCTGAATTTGCACTGGAGTCATAGTTTTTGTGCATTTTTATTTCCCTTCTTGTTTTTCTGTTGTATCTCAAGGAAATTTTGGGAGGTGGAGGCCTAGGCAACAGGCATCGTCTTCAGCTACCTAGAAGTTTACAGTTCTATTTTATGTATTGGAATTTTTATCTTATTTCCTCAATTCTAAGAAGCATTTTTTTTTACATTTTAACATTTATGAAATCGGGGTGCATTTTTCACTGATGGTGCCTTACACCTGGATTTATATAGTTTTCTGCCAGGCACCTGGGGGCACTGTTAGTTTGAGACCACTTTCAATTTAAAAGTCTCTGCTTGAGATTTTATTGGGCCACATTGGTGTGAATTCAGGCATCCAAAGAGGTTTGGGTTCAAATCCTCAGGACATTCGTACCCCTTCCCACTTCCACCCAGTGTGCTGACTGAAGCATGACAGTTTTCTCGATTTTTCTTTCTGCAGGGCCGAGTTTTGTTTGTTTATTTCGATCACCCTTAAACCGTACATGCAGACCTTTGGGTCCCAGCTCTATGTTGGGGTCTCCTATAAGACTCCCATCTTGGCCATTTTTTCTTTCTTAGAAATACGTGAAATCATGGTGGGGTGTGTCCTAAAAGTATAAACAGAATTGTACAATATGTAGTCTTCCAATATTCTTCTGTTGTTTGGCTTGGGTGTTTGTTTGTTTGTTTGTTTGTTTGCTGAGACAAGGTCTTGCTTAGTTGCCCCGGCTGGAGTGTAGTGGTACAATCATAGCTCATTGTAACCTCAAACTCCTGGGCTCCAGTGATCCTCCCACCTTAGCCTCATGAGTAGCTAGGACTACAGGCATGCATCACCACACCTGGCTAATTTATTTTTTTTGAAGAGATGGGGTCTCATTATGTTGCCCAGGCTGATCTCAAACTCCTGGCCTCAAGCAATCCTTCCACCTTGACCTCCCAAAGCGCTGAGATTATAGGCATGAGCCACCATGCCCAGCATGTCTGGCTTATTTTTTTCCTCCAATATGATGTGTCTAAGATTCATTTTAACATGTTGTAGTTCATTCATTTTTGTTGCTGTATAGTATTCCATTTTATGAATGCCAATTATTCTTTTTACTAGAGGTCAATATTTGGGTCAATTCCTGTTTGGTACTATGGTTAGCAACGCTGCAGTGAACTTGCTTATACATGCGCCTGGATGTACATAAGCTCTCAGTTTCCACAGTGTATGCATCTAGGATGGAAATGTCTGCATCATAAAGCTATACATATATCCAACTCTAATACATAATGCAAAATGTTTCCAAAGAGCTTGTACTGATTCACACTCTCAGCAGTATTTTTTTTAGAGTTCCCGTTACTCCGCAGTTTACTAACACTTAGCATTCACTTTTTAGCCAGTAATCAAAGTTTTAGTCAGTCTGGTGGTGCTATTAATCAGTATTGTGGTATTCGTTTCCACTTTCATGATTAAATAAAGAAGTTGAACATCTTTTCATTTCTTTTTAGCCTCTTTGGTGATATGCCTATTCAAGTATCCTGCACACGTTTCTATTGTGTTGTCCGCCATTGCTAATTTCCATTCCCCTGGCTCACCCTATCTAAGGTTCATCATTACTTTGCTTTCCTTTTATTTAGTTTTATTGCACCTATACATATTCCTAAAAGTACTTTATTGTTTTTCTAATTTCATATAAATTATAATTTCATGTGAGTTATAATTTTTATACTTTCATATGAAGGGCATTCTGTTGCATATACTTGGAGATTTCCATTTGCCTAATATTACTATAGTTTTTTAGAGTTTATATTGTCTAATATTAAGTGTCTAGTCATATAATAACACCAGTTTTCTTTTGTTGATATTGCATAGTATGCCTTTTTCCAGACTTTTACTTTTGCTATTTCTACATTCTTTTGTTTTAGATGTGTCTTTTGTAAACAGCATTTAGTTGGGTTTTTATAGCCTGACGACCTTTGTCTTTAATTGAAGCATTTATTCAATTTACTTGTAATATAATTGTTTATATATTTGGGATTGAATTTACCATCTTTACTTTCTTTCCAGACCAAAAAAAAAAAAAAGAACCTTCAGAGTCTTCAACTGACTTAACACACTCTCAATTTTAATGCCCTTGTTGTTTAACTCTGTATATTTTTAAATCTCACAAGTCAATATTCATTTAGAGTTGCCCCCATTTTCACTATTTTCTTTGCTCTTAATTTCTTTTTAAGCCTCACACCCCTCACCTGAGGCCATTTTCCTCCAACCTAAAGCACATCCTTTAGAACCCCCTTTAGTTTGGGTCTGCTGTTAGCAAATGCTTTCAGTTTTTATATGAAAATGTCTTTATTTCATCTTCAATCTTGATAGACACTTCACTGGGTATAGAATTCAATATTGGCAGTTATTTTCTTTCTGCACGCCAAGCTAACATCCCACTGTCACTGGCTTCCATTGCTGCTGTTGAGAAGTCAGCTCTCAGCAGGACTGCTGCTCTTTTCATCGTGCTATGTGCTTTATCCTGTGACTGGTTTTACAGTACCCTGGTTTTTTCTGGTTTGGGAAAGTTTGTTGTTTTGTTTGTTTTTATTTGTCTGATAAGTCACCACAGTGTGTCTAGGAATGGATTTCTTTATGTTTATCCTGTCTTGAATTCCTGTTCTGGAATATTCTGGTCCTGGAAGAATCCCAGCCATTATCTCTCCACATAGTGCTTCTCCTGCATTCTCTCTCACTTTCCTTCTAGGGCACTGATTAGGCACATGTCAATATCTTACCATATCCTCTATTTCACTAGATCACTCAGAGTGCTGGGGGGAACAGATAACACACTCAAATTGGTTGAGGTGGAAAATTTAATAAAAGAGCTCTTGGACAAGGGGTAGAGTTTAATGTGACTGACAGGGGAAGGGCCAGTGCCCCAGGAAAAGTAACAATGCTGACTCATTGCCACCTTCTAGACCTAAAGGGGCAGGGAATGGGAGTGCTCCCAGAACCAAGGATGTCTATATGGCTAGACCACAGGACAGATGGACACGGCAATCCTGTGGCCACCCACAGGGAGAGACTCTGCGGTATAAATACCCTGACTTCCCTCCACTCCCACCTTCTGACCTCTTGCTAGTGCTTACCATTAGCCAAGTCAACTGGAAGCCAAAGGTCAAGAGAGCTTCTTGATGCAGTGTATACAGGTCAGCTTCCTGGGGCATGAGGCAGGATGGGGAGCAGCAGAGATTATATCTGCAGGAGCAAGCGGAAGATATTCAACACAATTTCTTACTTCCCTTCTGCTTCCCCATATTTGTGTCCCTCATTGCTGAATTCTGTCTAATTTATTTTGAGTTATCTTCTAGTTCACTAATTCTCCTTTAACCATGTCAATGTGATGTTAACGTTTTCCATTGCATTTTTTTTATTTCAGATTTGGTATTTTTTATTTCTAAAATGTCATTTTGGTTCTTTTTCTCACCTGCTCTATCACTTATAGGTTCCTAGTCCCTGAAGACATTTTTAAGCTTGTCTTTTATTTCTGTATTCATAATCAAATATTTGTTTCATAGTTCATACCTGACGATTCTAATATCTAAGTTTTCAGATCTACTTTATTTGTTATTCTTGCTGTATGTTACCGATGGAGTGTGCCTTCCTCATGTGTCTGATTATCTTTTGACTACATACTGGATGTTGTTTTTGGAAAAAAAAAATGTAGGAATGATTTGGGGCCCACAATTAAGGTATTTTCCTCCAACAAAAACAACTTGTCTTTGCTCTGCCAAGCACCTAAGGATACCTAAGGTAAGCCCGTGATTACCTTAAGCCAAATCCAGTGCTTCAGATTCCCTGGATGCCCCCATTCAATTCAAACGTGGCTGAAATTTGCTTGGGTTTTTCACACCTGCTTAGGCACCAGTCTGAAAGTGGCCAAGGGTCTCCTATGAGATTAACCATGTTGTGCAGTCTGTGAGCTTAGGTCTCTGTCCCTTCATCCCACAAGGCTGTCAGAACAAAGGATCTAATTTTCCAGAATTGTCAGATGCCCCCAAGGCATCAGTAGCTTTCCTGCTCCCAACCCCTCAGGGTCATCATATTCCCCACATGTTGGCCTTGCAGTTTCTTACAGTCTTGTCATCTCTTTAATACTCTCAGGACCCTTGTTTATGTTTTCTTTTCTTTTTGAGACAGGGTCTCACTTCATCACCCAGGCTAGAGAGCAATGGCGCAATCTCGGCTCACTGCAACCTCTGCCTCCTGGGTTGAAGCTATTCTCCTGCCTCAGCCTCCCAAGTAGCTGGAATTATAGGCATGTGCCACCACACCTAATTTTTGTATTTTTAGTAGAGATGGGGTTTCACCATGTTGGCCAGGCTGGTCTCGAACTCCTGACCTCAAGTGATCTACCCACCTCTGCCTCCCAAAGTGCTGGAATTACAGATGTGAGCCACCATGCCCAGCCTACATGTTTATATTTTCTCCAACCTTTATAGTTGTTTTCAATGGAGGAGCTGATTCAAGTAGCTTAGTGCACCCCTACTGGAGGATGAAGAAGTCTTCTCATTCCTTTTTTTAAAAAACAGATTTATTGAGATATAACTCACATACTTTACAATTTGGCCATTTAAAGTGTACAATTCAATGGGTTTGGCATATTACATTATTTTTAATGGTAGTAAAATATGTATAATATAAACTTTGTCATTTTATTCACTTTTAAGTGTATGATTCAGTGGCATTAATTATATTTGCAATTGTTGCACAGCTATCACCACTGTCTAATTCTAAAACTTTTTTATCACTCCAAACAGAAGCTGTGTAACTATTAAATAATAATTCCCCATCTTCCCCTCCCCATAGCCCTTGATAACCTCTAATCTACTTTCTGTCTTATGAATTTGGCTGTTCTCGACATTTCATGTAAGTGGAATGATATAATATTTGTCCTTTCGGGTCTGGATTCTTTCCCTCCGCCTAATGTTTTCAAGGTTCATCCATGCCGTAGCATGTATCGGAACTTCATTTCTTTTCATTGCTGAATAATAGTCCACTGCACGGGTAGGCCGCATTTTATTTATCCATTCATCTGTTGACGGACACTCGGGTTGCCTCCACCTTTGGGCCGTCATGAATAACGATGCCGTCAGCACTGGCATACCAGCATGTTCGAGACCCTTCTCTCAGTTATTTTGGGTGTGTACCTAGGAGTGAAGTTTCTGGGCCATGTGGCCGTACTATGTTTAGCTTTTTGAGGAACTGCCGTACCATTTTCCATAGCAACTACACCATTCTCTATTTTCACCAGCAAAGTACCAGGGTTTCTGTTTCTCCACATACTCACCAGCACTTGGTGTCTCTCATCTTGGGGCTGTAGCCATCCTAGGAGGTGTGAAGTGACATATTTTGATTTGTGTTCCCCTGAGCATCTCTTCATGTGCTTATTGGCCATTTGTCTATCTTTTTTGGAGAAATGCCTCTTCAAGCCCTTTCTCCACTTTGGAGTTGGGTTGTTTGTCTTTGGGTTGTGACTTGTAGCTCCCATTCCTTCTTAGACCCACATGAACCAGACTTTGTCCACTGCTGCTCCAATAAAATGGTTCTCGTCAAGGTCACCAGTAACCTCACGTCACTAGGTCCAATAGTCCATTCTCTGTCCCCACCTTATGTGACCTGTCAGCAGAATTTGACTCAGCCAGTGACTCTCTCCTCCTGGGAACGCTGCCCTCCCCGGTTCTCCTCCTACCTCCCCGGCCACTCCCGCTCAGCCTCCTCCAGTGGCTCCTCCTCATCTCCCAGATTTCATAGCCCTGAGGCCACAGGGCTGACCCCTGATCCTCCTCCTCAGCTACACTCAGTTTCACAGTGACCACCTCCATTCCCGTGGCTTCAAATATCCCCTAAATACTGACACCTCTGGCCCAGGCCTCTCCCCTAACCCCCTGACGGCAGCCCTTGGATGTCACACAGGCGTCTCCCACTGACCCAGCCAGGCCACACCCCTGGCCTCCCCCAACCTGCCCCTCCTGCAGGCTTCCCCATGTCACCGCTGGTGACTCTGTGCTCCCAGCATCTCAGGCTGGAATTCTTGATGCCATCCGACTCCTCTACACCCACATCCCATCCCCTAGGAAACCCTGCCAGCTCCACCTCTGCCTGTGTCCCGCCCCCGCTGCCACCACCCTAGTCCAGGACACCACCGGCTCTCACCTGCAGTGACTTGCCCACTTCCAGTCGCCCACCCCCCAGTCCTTGAAGAACACACGTAGGCCCATGCCACGTCTCTGCGTAAGATCCTCCAGTGGTCCCATCTCATTCAAAGCCTCCACAGCAGCCATCAAGGTCGTGCTGTGGCCCCGATGATATCACCGTCTTCCTATCCTCCTCTCCCCTCCCCACTCCACCCCAATGACACTGGCCTTTCTTTCTGTCCCCTGAACACACCAGGATTGAGCTGTCTCAGGGCTGTCTCTCTGGAAGCTTCTCTCCCCCGCATCGCTGCCTGGCTCCCTCCCGATATCCTCAGGGCTTTGCTCAAGTGCCCCCTTCTCAGGGGATGCGTCCCCGACTGCCCTGTCTGAAACCGAAGGCACCCAGACTCTCCCCCGCCCCCCACGCTGCTTTTTTCTCTCAAGCAGCACTGAGCATCCGGCACACTGCGCTTCCTGCTGTGTCCCCGTGAGGCTGTCATGCACAGGAGGCCGGGGACTCCTGCCGATTCCGCCACTACTTGGTCCCCGGGACACTGTCTGCATGCAGTGGCGCTCGGCTCACACCTGCTGACTGGGGGGCAGGCCCGCAGGCAGCAGAATAGAAACACCCACCCTCTGGGCATGCACGCTCGCTCGGGGAGAATCCTCCCGCTTAAGCCTCTTGAGGCAGGCATTGCCCACTACTCTGCGGCCAGGAATCCAAGGCTCAGAGGGGTTAAGTGACTCCCCCAAGGTCACACAGCCAGCTTGGGGCAGAGAAGGGGTCTGAGCCTAGACCCTTCTGACTCCAAAGGCCCGGCTCTTTCCGGCTAGGTGGAAACTCACAGAGTCCTCCGAGCTGTCGTGCCCACCTAGCCAAGGGTCAGATGGTCCTGGAGTGGCTTCCCCAGGGTTTTAAGGAGAGCCACCCTTGAGTCTGTCTTAAAGCAGGGGTGGGAGCGCATGGAGCCACCCTTCTGTGGTCCTCGCAGCCCCAGCCTCCTCATGCCAGGGGCCCTCCTGCCCCTCGAACCCCTTCCACCCAACACTCAGACCCTAAGACCATTTAGGGCAGTAAACAGGGCCATCATGGTCACCAGCACCTCAGGGCAACCCAGCTGTCCCTTCCTTCCCTCCAGGCCTCACCGAGCCATGCCCCATGGAACCATGGAAAGGCCACAGGACTGGACAGCCCTGGCCTCCAGGATCCCCAGTTCCAAGACAGGGCCTTGATCAGGACAGGTCTCCTCTCTCCGGTCCTTAGTGGCCCCATCTGCAAAATGGGCACTCTACAAACTGTAAAGCACTGTGCTCATGCTAGTGAGGACCCAGCTGAGGAGCTGGGCCCCAGCAAACCCGGACTAGGAGGGAGTAGTCAGGGAAGGCTTCCAGAGGGAAGTGACTTTGTGGTGAGCCCTAAGGGCTGAGGGGGAATTAGTCAGGGACAAGGAGTGCTCTAAACACCAGGCCTGCACATGTGGGGGCCCAGAGGAAGGGAAGGACAGGCAGGGGCTGGAGGTCAGAGAGCAGAGAGCTTGGAGGCCGTGACTTTGAGTGCCGGCTGGGGCTGTGGTCTACAGGACCTGGGAGCCAGGGAAGATGACAAGCAGTTGGGAGACAGGGCACATTAGGAAACCTCCAGTATGAGTGAGGAGCTGGCGGAGAGACCTTGAAAGCGGGGAGATCCAGGAGGGGGCTGGTGTGGATGTGAGACCACAGGCAGGGACCAGGGGCCTCCTGTCCAGCCCCCGCCTTGGGCCCCTCCCACACCAACCTGCAATGCTCGTATCTGCCCTGAGCCCCATCCCACTAGGGTCCAGCTCAGGGCCCAGCCTAAGTTTGCTGTTCCAGGCACCCAGGCCCTGGTGATGGTGGCCTGCTCATGTGGCTGAGCCCAGCCAGGCCTCGGTGGCAGCACTGCCCTCACATGCCCTCTCTGCCCACAGCCACACCTTCCAGCTGTGGAGGGCCCTGGGGGCTGGGCAGCCCACGAGCCACCTGGTGCTGACCACACTGCTGGCCTGTCTGCAGGAGCGACCCCTGCCCACCGGTGCCAGCGACAGCAGCCCCTGCCCCAAGGAGAAGACCTACCTGCGTTTGCTGGCTGTGAGTCTCTGCCACCGCCCCATCAAATACTGGCAGCACCTCGGGCACTCACTCTGTGCCGGGCTGTAGGGGGGCACCCCATATCCAGGCTGCAGACACCCAGTCCAGCCCCAGCCTGGAGGAAAGCCGCCCAGGGCTGACCACACAGGCCCAGCTCCCACCTCCTAGCCGAGGGCTGTGAGCTCCTGTCTGTGAATCAGGACAGTCGTGTCAGTCCCCTGGGCTGGCAAGGGAACTCACTCACTCACTGTGGGGCGGCCTCAGAGAGGGGCTTCAGGTATAGGGAAGGGTGTGGAGAGAGTTGAGAACCCTCCCCATGCTTGGGTTCTGGGGAGTCATAGATTCTAGAGGAATCTTAGAGGCTGCCCTCTGCAGCCGCCACCCCCCTGTAGGAAGCCCCTGGTTTTCCTCATAAGCCCAGCACTGCTTCCACACTCCCAGGAGCCAGGAGCTCCCCTCCTGGCATGGCCACACCTGTCCCCCTTACCTGGACCCTGATGAGGCCACAGCTGTGTTCCTGTTTAGAGCTTTCCAGGCTGAGTCCCTGCCCCAAAGGCACCCCAGCAGTGGCCCAGAGCTCACAGCAGCTCCCCTACCACCCAGAGCCCCCCAGACAAGCTGCTGCCTGCAGCAGGGGTGTGATGAGGGCTTAACAATGGCAGCCGGTGGGAGAGCACCCCCTCGGCCTGGGGATTTATCAGCTGGCCATCCCCAACAGCCCCGCCCCGGTCGGCCCTGGGCTGATGCTGCCCCCCTACCAGAGGACCACACAGCAGCATGGGTGAGACCCACCCAGGGGTAGCAGGGGAGCCTTCCCTGCACCCCACCACACCGCCAGTTCCTGCCCTCCCCCCAGTTGTCACTGCTCAGTGCTGGCCCCACCCTGAGAACATTCTGGACTGAAGGCTCCGGCAGGCACATTCGGCCTTTGGGGTTGGGGGCTGCTATCAGCTGACTCTGCCTTCCAGGGCCATGGGTTCCCCAACTCCCAGGCATCAGGCCCTGCTGTGTGCCAGCCACAGAGCTGAGGGTACCGTGAGACCACACAGCACAGGACCTTGCCTTCAAGGCAGTAGAGCAGAGGGCCCAGACGCCAGCAGCTCACCCCTTAGACAGGAGCAAAGTGCAGAGGGCAGATGGTGGCATCCAGTGTGCGGTCTGAGGGAGGCCCTGGGTCAAGGTGGAGGTCTGCAGGAGTGTAGAGCGGACAGCATCCAGGTGGACAGCTAGGGGAGGCTGGGGACCACTAGGCCATCCAGCAGCAGCGAGACCCAAGCGGTGGGTCCAGAGGGTGCAAGAGACGGCCAGGCTGAGTCTGCAGAGGCACGGGGTCAGGCCCCACAGGGAGGGACAGCATGTGGACACTTGGACTTGGTCCTGGAGAGCTTGCAGCAGGGAGGGACGAGCATGCTTGGACGTGGCTTTTGTGGGACAGTAGGTCAGAACCCCTGGTCCCGGGACCCAGGGCCTGGGAGCCTCACTCCACGCCTGCCCCCGACAGGCCATGAACATGCTGCACGAGCTGCAGTTTGCCCGGGAGTTCAAGCAGGCCGTGCAGGAGGGCTACCCCAAGCTCTTCCTGGCCCTCCTCACCCAGATGCACTATGTCTTGGAGCTGAACCTGCCCAGCGAGCCCCAGCCCAAGCAGCAGGCCCAGGAGGCGGCCGTGCCCAGCCCCCAAAGGTAAGACTAGAGCCTCCCAGGCCTCCTGGCCTGGCCAGACACACATAGGGTTCCGCAGGCATCCGAGGGCAAAGACTGTGTTAGCCTCATAGAGCACAGTAACAAAGACGCATACCCCACGGACTCAAAGCAACATCTCCCAGTGCTGGAGGCCAGAAGTCTAAAACCAAGGTGTCACCAGGGCGTGCTCCCCTGAAACCTGCGGGGGCCTTCCTCACTGCTTCCGGTTCCCAGTGTCTCATGGCCACGCTGGGTGTTCCTGGGCCTGAGGCTGCACCACGCTCATCTCTGCCCCTGTGGTCACCTGACATTCTCCCTTGTGTGCCAGTGTTTAAATTTCCTCCTTTTTTTTTCCAGCTCTGTCAGAATTAAGCTTTCGTTCATGTCTGTTGAGTGGTTCAGCAGTTGAACAGTTAAATTCAGCATCTGAATAAATTTCCCCTTCTTATAAGGATACCAATCACTGGGTTAGGGCCCCACCCTAACGACCTCAACTTGATAACATCTGCAAAGACCTTCTTTCCAAATAAGGTCACAGTCACAGGTACCGTTGGTTGACTTCAATATATCTCTTTTCGGGGGGACACAGTTCAACCCACAACAGTCATGAACCTGAGCCCCATCCATGGCCAGGGCCACAGGGGCTGTGGGCAGCACCTGCAGACAGGTGTTCGTCCCACTTACCCGTCACCTGACGGTGCTTGGCAGTAGAGATACTTAGTGTCACTGCCATACAGCGACCTCAAGGGGACAGCAGTTACCAAAAGCACCCATGCAGTGAGCCACATCTTACCCCAGTGGGTTTCCTGCGAGGACTCGAGATGAATGTCGTTGTCCCTGCTCTACAGATGAGGCAACTGAGGCTCAGAGAGGGTCAGAGGCTTCCCCTGGGCCACACAGCATGTCCATGCAGAGGCGAACTGGGCTCACCCATGGGGCAGATGCCTTTCCATGCCCTCTTGGGCATCTCATTGGTCCTCAGCACATGCTCAGGCTGACATCACGGCCAGTTGCCCGCTCCCCCGCCCACCGTATTCTGGCCTCAGTAGGGCTGCCTGCCTTCATCTTCCCTCTGCACCAGGTCATATTTCCAAAAATCCAATAAGCAAGTCTAAAAACCGCTGGGGCCAACTCTTTTCATTTGTTTGTATTATGATGTGCGTCACGCAATTTGTCAGTTTTAACAGCTCTCCCCAAGGCAAGTCACTTAAAAAAAATGCCACTTCTTCTCATCTTGCCTCCGAATTCAAATGTGCACGAAGTTCCTTTTTTATTCAGTTCAACCATGCAAAATGCATGAATCTTTCCTAATAAGCTAATAAAACCTTCTCCTCCCGGAACGTGGGAGGGTTGGGAGAAAGCCTCACCCCGTCTGCTCCTCCCCCTGCTGGAATGTTCTTCCCCCAGCCATCCTGTCTCTGCAGGCTCTGCTCACCCGCACCTCACTGAGGCCTCCCCCACCACCCTCCAAAATAGCAGCCCCTTCGGCGCCTCCCACCCTCTGCTGCTTTATTCTCGCCGCAGCCCCGCCATCAGCTACCATCTGTGATCTGCGCCTTTTACCTGCTTTACTGCCCTCACCCATAGACTGGAAGGTCCCGAAGAGCCAGAGACATCTGTCTGTCTCTCGCGGGCTCCCCATACAGCAAGGACGTCTGTCTGTCTCACTGGGGGCTCCCCATACAGCAAGGACGTCTGTCTGTCTCACTGGGGGCTCCCCATACAGCGGGAATGTCTGTCTGTCTCACTGGGGGCTCCCCATACAGCGGGAATGTCTGTCTGTCTCACTGGGGGCTCCCCATACAGCGGGAATGTCTGTCTGTCTCACTGGGACCTCCCCATGCGGCTGAGACATCTGTCTCTCGCGGGTTCCCCCACCAGCAAGGACGTCTGTCTCTCTCAGGCCCCTCATACAGCTGGGACATCTGTCTGTCTCGGGCTCCTCATACAGCTGGGACGTCTGTCTATCTCTCTTGGGCTCCCCATACAGCTGGGACGTCTGTCTATCTCTCTTGGGCTCCCCATACAGCTGGGACGTCTGTCTATCTCTCTCGGGCTCCCCATACAGCTGGGACGTCTGTCTCTCTCGGGCTCCTCATACAGCTGGGACGTCTGTCTGTCTCTTTCGGGCTCCTCATACAGCTGGGACGTCTGTCTGTCTCTCTCGGGCTCCTCATACAGCTGGGACGTCTGTCTCTCTCGGGCTCCTCATACAGCTGGGACGTCTGTCTCTCTCGGGCTCCTCATACAGCTGGGACGTCTGTCTCTCTCGGGCTCCTCATACAGCTGGGACGTCTGTCTGTCTCTTTCGGGCTCCTCATACAGCTGGGACGTCTGTCTGTCTCTCTCGGGCTCCTCATACAGCTGGGACGTCTGTCTCTCTCGGGCTCCTCATACAGCTGGGACGTCTGTCTCTCTCGGGCTCCTCATACAGCTGGGACGTCTGTCTGTCTCTCTCGGGCTCCCCATACAGCTGGGACGTCTGTCTGTCTCTCTCGGGCTCCTCATACAGCTGGGACGTCTGTCTCACTGGGGGCTCCTCATACAGCTGAGACATCTGTCTCTCGTGGGTTCCCCCACCGGCAAGGACGTGTCTCTCTCTCGGGCTCCCCATACAGCTGGGACGTCTGTCTGTCTCTCTCAGGCTCCCCATATAGCAGGGACTTCTGCCTCGCGCGGGGCCACGGGTGGTTTCTGCTCAGGCCGCTCCGGGCAGGTTCTCCTGGAGCCCTGGAGGTGGCCCCGGCAGCTCCCGCAGCCCCAAGAGAAAAAACTCTCACCACGGGCACAGTCCTGGGCTCTGATTGGCCTAGCTTTGCTCACATACCCAATCCTGAACCAATCACCTTGGCCACAGGGGCCTGTGCGGCTCTGACTGGCCAGGCCTGGCTCCCACGCCCTCCAGGGAGCGGCATGGGCCCAGGCCTCTTCGACCACCGCGAAGGGGCCCAGGCTCCGGTTGCCAAACCAGCAGCCATGCCACCCAGCACCACCACGGAGCCAGGGAGAAAGGGAGGCCTGAGAGCAGAGTGACACCCAGGTGTATCCCGGTGGCTCACGGTCTGAGGTCCCTGCCAGGCTGCTGTGGCACTGTCAAGGTGGGGACAGGGGCCCAGAAGGACAACTGGATGAGCAGTGCTGAGTAGCCACTCTCTCTGCATGCCCAAAACGGTGGGGGCGGCACAGGACACCATGGGGCAGCAGGGGAGTCTTGAGGCCTGATGGGGCCAGCCCTGGGCCTCTGAAGTTCTCATGTCCTGCTTAGATGGACAGGCCTCTGGGACCAGGAAGCAGCGAGTGGGGTTGAGCAGGGCACCCTTCCCTGGGCAGGACTGCAACAGGTGCTGCCAGGCCTGCCAGAGGGGCCTCCCTCTCCCCTGCTCCTCCACTAACAAAGCCTTTTCCTTAGAGATGTTTCCTGCGTTGGTCAGTTCTCAGCTGGGTCCTCCTCCAGCCAGTCTCCACCCTGCCCCACAAAGGAATTCTCATTGTTCTCACACGTCATCCATGTGGGCCAACTCTATTTAATTCAAATGGGCTACATCGTTTCTCTTTATTTCGAAGGCACTCATCATTCTCACCCTCATCTCATCTTCATCTTTCCCTCTGTCCCCTGGGGATTTGGGGCCAAAGGCTTGTGATCAAAAGAAGAGGAGGAACTTCACACCCATTAGGTTGGCTACTGTCCAAAAAAAAATCAGAAAATGAGTGTTGGCGAGGATGTGGAGAAATCAGAAGCCTTGTGCACTGTTGGTGGGAATGTAAAACGGTGCAGCTGCTTTGGAACAGAGTATGGAAGTTCCTCCAAAAATTAAATATAGAATTACCATATGGCCCAGGAATTCCACTAATGGGTGTACACCCAAAAGAAAGGAAAGCAGGCACCTGGGACAGATATTTGTACGCCCTGCTCACAGCAGTGTTATGATAACCAAAAGGTAGAAGCAACACAAGTGTTCATCAATGGGTGAATTAGAATAAGCAGTGTGGTCCATCCATACAATGGAATACTATTCAGCCTTGAAAAGGAAGGAAATTCTGATGCTACAACATGGATGAACCTTGAGCACATTCTGCTGAGTCAAATACTGTGTGAGTCCACCTACTTAAGGTCCATGAGTAGCCAAATCTACAGAGACAGAAAGTAGAATGCTGGGTGCCAGGGGCTGGATGGAGGGAGAATGGGGAGTTAATGTTTAATGGGGACAGAGTTTCAGTGTGGGAAGATGAGAATGTTCTGGAGATGGATGGTGGTGATGGTTGCATAATATTATGAATATGCTCAATGCCACTGACCTGTACACTTAAAACGGTAAATTGTATGAGATGTGCATTTTACCACAATTAAAAATAAAACCAGAAGAGGAGGAGGTAATGGGAGAGGGAAGAGGGTCTCATGGACCCTCAGGCTGGGGAGGAGTATGGAAAGCAGAGGGGCTTTGCCTCCTCTTTCTCAGGTGCCTTTGCCCTCTCCGGGGCCAGAGTGGGGAAAGGACGGTTGGTCGAGTATGGGGCAGGCATCACTGGGATGCCAAGTGTCCAAAGAGGCTGCAGGCAGGCAACGACGTTGAGACCAGCAGGAACGGAGGATGGTTCCTTGAGTCCACAGCGAGGCAGAGACTCAAGGGGCTCCACCTTCATCGGTCTTGGGACTGCGTATGGATTTCAGGAGACACATGTCCTTGAGCATTGCCGGGGGTCCTGGGCTGGAGGTGGTTTTGTGTTCTATGGACCTGCAGGGGAGTTGGGCATGGATTCCCAAGAATGCTGAATCAGCCCATCTTTCTGGAAGCCCTGCTGGGGCTGCAGGGACAAGGCAATCTTGAAGAACAAGCCAATACAGTGCCCAAGAAGTCACAGGACCAGAAGCTTCTGGAGTCCTCCCAGAGCAAACAAAATGCCACTCCCCCCACCAAGTCCCCTTCTTCTGAAAACCATTGTCGCATTATGGCTGAGACCAGTGACCTGGAAAATGCTGCCTTTTTTTATGACACAGCTTGGGGTGAGAGGACAAGCCAGCTGGCATTTGGATTGGCACTGTCAGAACTTTCACGGATGGCATTTCATCATTTGACACTTGGTTTTGCAAATCTGCTCAGAAACGTGCCTGGTCCAAGCTGACAGCCTCGTCCAGGCATGCTCACACATCCAGGGTGATGCACTTACACTGACCGAGCACAGGGGCCGGGCCAGGGGTGTGTGGCTGGAACAGTGAGACAGGCCAGCAAGCCAGGGCCATCTCATGTTTCATGGGCCTGCATTCTGGGGCTTTCTACCTGTGCCCCAGGGACTGCGTTCAGTGACAGTGACATCCTGTGACAGTGACATCACTGGCAGGTTTGGAGCCAGGGCCCAGCTTGACCCCACCTCTGTGCCCTTGCCCAGGCTGTGTGACAGGACTGCTCCCTCCTCTGCTGAAGGACAGCGACAGTAGAGGGCCACCTCAGGCTGGGCAGGTGAGGCACCATCCATGGTACCTGGCAACTACCAAGCACACGGTGACACCACAAGCCGTGCACTCACAAGCGAGGGCCGGTGCCGTGGGTTTCTCCGTCACTCACAAGCAAGGGCCAGTGCCGCGGGTTTCTCCGTCACTCACAAGCGAGGGCCAGTGCCGCGGGTTTCTCCGTCACTCACAAGCGAGGGCCAGTGCCGCGGGTTTCTCCATGTCCTCTGAGGGCAGGAGTCTCAGGAGTGGAGAATGGACACTTCTCTGGGCTCCGCTACGCCACACGCCCTGAGTCTCCCACGCCCTCGCCCGCTGCTACCCTCCATACTCTTGGCCCATATTTAAATGCTGCCATCCTTGAGCTGAAGGGCAGGTGCCCTTCAGCAGAGTGCCCCTCCCTAGAAGGGCACCCCCTGGTCTCCTGCCCAAGCAAGGCCCGGGGTCTGACTGGGCACATGCTGCCTCCCCATGCTCGGCCCGGCTCCGCCAATCCTGGGTCCCAGCATTTCCGCGTAAAACAGGGCAGGAGGGAGTAGCCCCAGGGGGCCTCAGTGACGCCAGGCATAGGAACCAGAACGTGCCTTTCTATCTGGGTCAGGTGGGCACCCTTCCCAGGGCAGGGGGTGGCCCAGGGGGCTGCTTGTGGCCTGAGGCAAGCCCTAAGCCCCCTCTGCTCAGCTGCAGCACGTCACTGGAGGCACTGAAGAGCCTGCTGTCCACCACGGGGCACTGGCATGACTTTGCCCACCTGGAGCTGCAGGGATCCTGGGAGCTCTTCACCACCATCCACACCTACCCGAAGGGCGTGGGCCTCCTTGCCAGGTACGGTGGGGCCAGGGCAGGTCGAGGCAGCCTGCTTCAGGCCACGCCCATCCAGGGGACTGGGTATCTGGACTGCAGTGACAGGACACGGCCCCCTGCCCCCGGTCACAGGCACACGCTCAGAGCCTGTTGATGCAGTGTCTTCCCCCGGCCCTCACCCTGGCCTGTGACCTCCTAGGGAACAAGGGCTGTGCCTGCTTCTCTGTCTCCTGCATGTCCAACCCAAGCCTGGCACGCAGTGGGCAGCCAGTGGGTGGAAAGGAAGTGGGAACGTGCCTGCCACGTTGGGACCCTCCGGGATGCCAGCCCTGATGAGATGGGTGGGGGCAGGAGGGTGGGCTCTGAGCAGTGACCACCAGCCCAGGCCCACCCCTGCAGGGCCATGGTGCAGAACCACTGCAGGCAGATCCCAGCGGTGCTGCGTCAGCTGCTGCCCAGCCTGCAGAGCCCACAGGAGCGTGAGAGGAAGGTGGCCATCCTCATCCTCACCAAGGTAGGGATGCAGGCCAGCAGAGAGCACCTCAGATGTCTGAGCCTCCTTCTCCAGCCTCCTTGACACCCCAGCAGAACCCATGCCAGAGCTCACCCTGACTGGGGAGGCTGCCCAGACGGACCCCCTCGTACTCCTGCCTTCCCACTCCCAGCCCTTGGAGGGGGGCTGCACACTTTGGGGACCTGTCTCCCCACTCGGCCCTCCCTGGCACAATCCCTGCAGAGTTGCAGGGGCACTAGGTGCAGACTCAGGCAAGTCTAGGCTCCAACTTCAGCCCTGTCCTGCCTGTGGGACTCAGGGTAAAGCCAAAGGGGAATGGGTAGAAGCAGATGCCGCTGGGTGTGGCACACTTTGCAGCTGTGAGCTCAGGCAGGGGTGGGACTGGGGCGAGGAGGGTGCTGTTTCCGTAACTGACACTAGTAGGGGAACCCAAGCGAAAGCCTCATGCCAGCTCCCACCCACCAGCTGCCTAGGCCGCCCTCCATGGGCGCTCTACCCCCAGGTGCCCCACAAGCTCGGCTCTTGATAAAAGTGAGGCCTTGCCTCGCTGTGTGACCTTAGGCAAGGCCCTTTCCCTTTCTGGGGCTCAGTTTCCCCAGCTGTACATTGAGGGGTTGAACCAGGATACTTGTTCACCAAGATACCCAGAGGGTACTGGTCAGCCTCCCTCCCTGAAACTCCCACCGGACTCCGGTCCTAGAGCCCCACCCCTCAACACAGATGCAGGCGCCTAAAAAAGAGTGACCTGCCTGCCCTCCCGGGGGCCACCTCAGTTCCTCTACAGCCCTGTCCTGCTGGAGGTGCTTCCCAAACAAGCTGCCTTGACCGTGCTGGCACAAGGCCTCCACGACCCCAGCCCTGAGGTCCGCGTGTTGAGTCTGCAGGGCCTAAGCAACATCCTCTTCCACCCAGATAAGGTAAGGGCTGTCGGGCACTGTGGCTGGTGCACACGCAACCCCACAGAACAGCCGGTGCACCGGGTGTAGGCAAGGGCCACCGGGTTGGAATCCCGGCTCTGTCACTTCAGGTGGTGTGGCTTGGGACACCTGACTCCACCTCTCTGGGCCTGTTTCCTCATCTGTAGAATGGGGCAGGTTGTGGGAGGGGTCAAAGTGTCTATTCCCCGGACACAGAGTCTCCTCCACGCCCGAAAGAGAGAGGGGCCTTGTTGCAGACCTCCAGGTGGTCACCGTGAAGCCCACCAGATGGCATCCCAGGGCTCACCCAGAGAGGACAATGCCCTCTGAGAATCTTATGAATGGGTCTCCCCAACCCATTGCTGACTTCTCCAGTCCCAACCAATTCTACCTCATCACCATAATAACCCATATCCCATCATGGACAGCTGTGGGAGAGAAAGCCTGCGATGCCGCCTTTGGGGGATCTGCCCTTACCCCAGCTACAGCCCCCCACTTAACTGACATCGCCCTTGCTGTGGGGGCCCAGGGTACCATGCAGTGGTTAAGAGTCCAGGCCCTAGACCTATCCCCGCTCCAGCACCTTCTAGCTGGCAGGCTTTGTCAGCTCTCCAGGCCTCAGTGACCACATCTGTACAACGAGAGCAGTAATAATGCCTGCCTCCTGTGGTAGGCAGGTCATGAGTGCCATGCAGAGACCGGTCCCTGGCACGTGGTCAGCCCTAGGGGCACCAGCTGGCAGCAGCAGCAAACTTCCTGCCTGGCTGACTCTGCACCCTGAAAATGCTGAGTTAGAGGCAGAAATTTTCTCACCTGATCAGGAAGTGTGGAGCCTCAGCCTCCTCTCATCCACCCCAGGGCTGCATTAAGACCCCAGAGGGAAGGCGACATGCCCAGCCCCCATTTCTGTTGCTGTTGGAGGAGGCTGTTATGAACATAAATATTTTCAGGGCTTGTGGGAGAAAACTGTCATCATGGGAAGGCAGCAGAAGGGGTCGTTTCCAAAGAGATCCCAAAGTCATTTGCCTAGCAGACTAGTTCACTGTGATTCTGTTCCAACCACAGGCCTCCACATGGTTAACAAGACTGACTTCCATCAGGGTCACAGTTGGCAAAGCTCTTTGCATTGTGCGTGATGCATAGTAGGTGCTTAATGGAAGATGGAGACTAGATAGCACTTCCTCAATGATCTGTTCATCTCTCCATCCTTCATCCATCCACCCACCCACCCATTCATCCAGCTATTCACCTACCCATCCATTCATCTCTCCATCCATGCTTCCATCCATCCACCCACCCATTCATCTTCCCATCTATCCACTGATCCCTCCATCCATCCATCCACCCACCCATCCATCTACCCATTCATCCCTCCACCCATCCATCCATCCATCTACTCACCCATTCATCCAGCTATTCACCTACCCATCCATTCATCTCTCCATCCATGCCTCCATCCATCCAACCACCCATCCAACTATTCACCTACCTATCCATCCACTCACCCATGCATCCCTCCACCCATGCCTCCATCCATCCACCCACCCATTCATTCCTCCATTCATCCCTCCATTCAACCATCGACCCACCCATTCATCTCTACCCATGGCTCCATCCATCTACTCACTCATTCACCCGTCCATTCATCCATCCATAGATCCCCCCGTCCACCCACATATCCCTCCACCCACCCACTTGTTCCTTGGGTCCTTCATCTGTGACCCATTCTTGCATTATTTATTTTGTTCATTCTTTTTATGTCTATTCATTCACCCAGTTATTCACGTTTGCTCCCTCATTCATTCATTCAGTGTTCGGTTATCTGTGCACCAAATGTTCTCTCAGGCAGGGAAATGATCAGTAGGAAGTTTCCATGTGCCTCCTCTGTACCCTGCACTGAATACAGGGAATACAGAAAGGCAAAGAAGGGCCCTGCTAGATCAGGAGGACCAGGTCCAGAGAAGAGGGAATGGTTCCCCGCCTGGCATCAGGTGGGATATGGGCAAGCAGCCACAGCAGACCAGAGGAGACAGGCCCCGAGAGCACTGCCAGCCAGGGAGGCCTGCCGGCTTGGGGATGGGAAGGCTGAACCAGGTGTGGCTGGGGCAGGCCACCCCACTCCACTCTGAGTGGAAATACGCCATGCTATGCATTTTTCTTTTCTTTTCTCACCATTTCCATTACAATTTCATTCTGTTGTCCTGCTCTGACCTGGCCAGAACCCTGGTCTTCGAACACTGGCTGCAAACATAGATGCTCAGAAAGTGTAACTGTTGAATGACTCACTTGCTGAAAATGAATTTAATATTTTCAAAGCAAACAGCTAAGAAAGCCAACAAAGCTGCTTTAAACTTGTTTAAAAGTTGTAAAAATCACCCTGGTTTGCACCCAAGTCACTGCTAAGGGGCCCAATGGCAGGAAACATCCATTGGTGGGCACACTGCTTTCTGACCATTCATCCCGATAACTCAGGAAATCACTGCAAACACGCAATCAAGTGGAGAAGACGGAACTGGCTGAAAATTAATTAAAAAAAAAAAAAAAAGACAAGTCGAATGTGTTGGCTCACACCTATAATCCCAGCACTTTGGGAGGCCAAGGCAGGTGGATTGCTCAACCCCAGGAGTTTGAGACCAGCCTAGGCAACATAGTGAGACCCCATCTCCACCCAAAAAAAAAAAATAGCCAGGTGTGGTGGCACGCACCTGTAGACCCAGCTACTCAGGAGGTTATGTTGGGAGGATTGCTTGAGCCTGGGAGGTCAAGGCTGCAGTAAGCTATGGTCACACCACTGTACTCCAGCCTGGGTGACAGTGTGAGACCCTGTCTCAAAAAAGAAAAGAGGCCACCCTGTCCAGACCACGCAGCTCCTGGTGGACAAAGCCCAGTTAGGGGCACAGCTCCCCACGGCGGGCAGGGCCAGGCCAGGACCCACAGCTCCCCACGGCGGGCAGGGCCAGGCCGGGACCCACAGCTCCCCACGGCGGGCAGGGCCAGGCCGGGACCCACAGCTCCCCACGGCGGGCAGGGCCAGGCCGGGACCCACAGCTCCCCACGGCGGGCAGGGCCAGGCCGGGACCCACAGCTCCCCACGGCGGGCAGGGCCAGGCCGGGACCCACAGCTCCCCATGGCGGGCAGGGCCAGGCCGGGACCCACAGCTCCCCACGGCGGGCAGGGCCAGGCCGGGACCCACAGCTCCCCATGGCGGGAAGGGCCAGGCCGGGACCCACAGCTCTGAATCACCACCCCCCACCCCCCCACCCAGTGCAGATGGGGTGAGGGGGTCAAGTGGGAGAACGAGGCGGGGGCATGGGGCCAGCGGGTCCTAGTGCTCTCCGCCCACCAGCCGCCACCACCCCCAGGGAAGCCTGCTCCAGGGACAGCTGCGGCCCTTGCTCGACGGCTTCTTCCAGAGCAGCGACCAGGTGATCGTGTGCATCATGGGCACCGTGTCAGACACGCTGCACCGCCTGGGCGCGCAGGGCACAGGGAGTCAGAGCCTCGGCGTTGCCATCAGCACACGCTCCTTCTTTAATGACGTGAGCACTGGGGCAGGGCGGGGCTACCTCCTGCTCACGCCCTCCAGGACCCTCCTCCCAACCCAGCTCCCTTCCTCTGCCAAAGGGGGAACCCCAAGCTGCAAGCAGGGAGGCCCAGGCCCTGGGGAGCTGCCCGCTTGTGGCCCTCGGTTGAGGTGGGCGCTGAGCAGGTGGGCTGGGTGGGCCCCTGGCGCTCACCCCTTCTCCACAGGGCTGAACTAGTTCTCACGTTCAGTCTCCAAGTGCAGTGGTCTCCGGCCCCACGACAGCCTACCCAGATTTGCTTTCTGACATGTCAGCACGGTTAGCGTGGCTGTTTTTCCTTCACTGGGGAATCTGGGGGATAGGCGCCCCTCAAATGCATTCATGAGGCCTGGGCTGCCAGGATGCAGTTGTGGGTAGAAGGGAGATGTGATTCTTACATCCTCAGGGACACCAGAGAGCCCTGTGTGAGGGGGGAGCCCCAGCCCTTCCCTTCCCCGGGAGCCGAGAGCCTGGGTGAAGGAATCCTGCAGAAAGAACTGAGTTGTACCCCTACAAGGTGTGGGGTCCCAACTTGGACCAAAGCTGGGACCCCTGGACAGGTCTGGCCGTGCCTCTGAGCCTCTGCCTTGCAGGAGCGGGACGGGATTCGGGCGGCAGCCATGGCACTGTTCGGGGACCTGGTGGCGGCCATGGCAGACAGGGAGCTGAGCGGCCTGCGGACCCAGGTGCACCAGAGCATGGTGCCCCTGCTCCTACACCTGAAGGACCAATGCCCAGCTGTCGCCACGGTCAGTGCCCACCCCAGGAAAGGCAGGTGATAGGCCTTCACCTTGGCCAGGGCTGGGACCCACAGGAGGCCAGGGTACGGGGCAGACGGATGGCAGCAGCACTGCCTGAGAGTTGGGGGAGCTCCCACGGGGCAGCAAGTGGCGGGCAGAGGGTCTGGCCATCTGCACTGGTTTCTGTGACCACAGTTGGCCTGCCCGCTCCCCCACTGCGCACACGCATGCGAGCGAGACTTGCCGTCGATGCGGCAGGACCCGGTCTTTTCTGCTCACTGCTGTGCCCCCAGTCCCTGTAACGGGGCAGGGGGTCCAGCAGCTCACAGAGCTTGTGTGAATATGGACTGTGCCCTGCCTGCCGTGGCAGCACATGCCCTGTGCACAGCCCACGAAGTCAGAGCTTGGCCTCGCGGGTCTCCCTGCCATGGGGAAAAGGATACGGGGCAACCGTGGAAGGGGCAGGGCCAGGGCCGCGGGCAGACCAGCCTGGGCTCCGGGGGGCCAGGTGCTGTTGCCAGGGTCGGGGAGGCTTGCCGAGGGGCACAAGCAGGACAGAACCAGGGAACACCCGCACAGCAGGCTGCCTCCAGTGCCCATGGAGGCCTGTGGCCTCTAGGGGAAAGGGCTCAGACATAGGCGGTGGGTGACCCTCCACGCCTGTCCCTGCAGCAGGCCAAGTTCACCTTCTACCGCTGTGCTGTGCTGCTCCGCTGGCGGCTACTGCACACCCTCTTCTGCACGCTGGCCTGGGAGAGGGGCCTCAGCGCCCGCCACTTCCTCTGGACCTGCCTGGTGAGAGGCCTGGGATCGGTGGGGAGGAACAGGGCCAGGGAGTGGGGGAGACCAGGCTTGCGGCTCCCCCATTCACTCCCGTCTCACACACAGCTGCTATAGCAGCTCCAGGGGCTGGGCAAGGCAAACTGGGGCTGGAGGACCCTGGTATGCCCAGGGCCCCCAGCCCGTCCCAGCCAGGTGTGCTCTCCTCCGGCCAGATGACCCGCAGCCAGGAGGAATTCAGCATCCACTTGTCACAGGCCCTCAGCTACCTGCACAGCCACTCCTGCCACATCAAGACCTGGGTGACACTCTTCATAGGTGGGAGGGCGAGGCCGGGCTTAAAGACCCCCAGGCCTGCCCCCACCCAAGCACCCTTGACCCTCCCTGACTCACCACCCACAAGAGAGGAAAGGGGGTGGATGAGGAGGAGCTTGGGGCTGAAGAGGGGCAGGGGTGGGCTACAGCCCCCCAGGAGACAGGGAGCCCTGAGCCACCAGCTGCCCGTCTGTTACACAGGCCACACCATCTGCTACCACCCCCAGGCCGTGTTCCAGATGCTGAATGCTGTGGACACCAACCTGCTGTTCCGCAGTAAGCAGCCCTCCCTCCAGAGCTCCCGCAGCCCGCACCCTCCCACCCCTGCCCAAGCACTCTTAAGACCCACTGCACAGACAGCAAGACTGAGGCCCCAGAAGGGAACCCCCTCCTGCCCCCCCTACCCAGCATCAGCATCAGGACAAAGACACAGGCCTCCTGGGCAGCACCCAGCCGCCATCCCACCTTCATGTCTGGAGGCTGAGGTTGGCCCTTCCCCTCCCCAGGCCCCCATCAGGGCACCTGGGGCCTAAGGCTCACACTCACTCCACAGCTGCCTCATGGCACCAACAGAACAAGGGGCTGGGGAATGGGGGTGGTGGGTTAGTGGTGGAGGGAAGCATCCCAGGCCTGGAGTCACAGGAGGTGGGGTCTGAGCTGGCCCCACCCACCACCCACCCCACCCCCCACCCCCCCAACACCTGGGCTGGAGTAAAGGGGCTGCTCCTGCGCTGGGGTCACCTCTGACCTGCTCCTCCTCTTCTGGAGCTTTTGAACATCTCAGAAGTGACCCTGAGCCCAGCATCCGGGAATTCGCCACCAGCCAGCTCTCCTTCCTCCAGAAGGTGTCGGCCAGACCCAAGCAGTGACCTCCAGCCATCCTCCCCCACCCACCGCCTTCCCCTCCCGTGTCCACCTGGTCAGCCCTGCCCCATCCGCCCCCCACAGAGCTTGGTTGCATAACGTTTTTCCATTTGAAAGAAAGATCTAGATTCAACAAAAGAAGCGTTATGCGTGTCAGCTCCCTGCCCACCACAGGCCCCTCTGCTGTGACCAAGCCAAGCCCCAGGAGACACTGGCAGGACTTGGGGACAAACTCAGGGTCAGGCCCAGGGGACAGAGACAAACTATGAAGTCTGTGAAGTGCCCTGCAGGTGGATACCCGTCCACTCCTGGAGACAGGGTCACCTTGACTGGGGCCTGAGCCCAAGCCACAGCCTGCCAGGGTCCCAGGGTCCTGGGGGCTGGGGCTGGGCAGGCACTCAAATTGAGGGCAGCCTCCGCCCAGGGTGGCCACTCAATCTTCAGTTGTCTCCATCTTGGCGCGCCACAGTGGCTGGGGGCTGACGGTCGGACGGGGTCCCCTCAGTCGGGACCCCCAGCCTCGGGCCCCCAGCGTCTCCCTCCACCCCCACCAACATCCTCCTCAGTCCATTCAGGGCTAGCAGCAGAACCAGCCAGGCCCACCCTGGACACACTGTCGCCTGAAGCAGGAGTCTTGGTTCTCTGAGCCTCAGCTGTTCCATCTGTAAAATGGGCAGTAAGACCTTTCTCCCGAGACCCTTGGAGGGATGAGTCCAGAGGCAGGTACCCTGGACTCCCAGAGAGCCACCAGGGGACCTGCCCAACCTTCGGCCTCGGCCTGGGTTTCCGCCTGGCCTGGGGTCCACACAGCTCCTGGAGAGCCCCTCCCTGCAGAGCTCTGCCTGGGGCCCCATCCCATGCTGCATCTGTCTCGGGATCCTGCCAGGCCAGCCACCATCCCACCAATGGGATAATCCAGACTGCACCCCTTTTCCCCTCCTGGCCAGCGCGGACCCCCACTCCACACTCAGCTCAGGCAGTCCTTCCACCTGGGGCATCTCCCCCACCTCCCGACGTGGTACTCTGCACTGTGCCCCCCCCAGGCCCCGCCTCCATGCCCCTGTCCCCCTGCCCCCTAACAAGGTGGAGCACACCAAGGCCCCACCTCCATGCCCCCATTTCTCCTGCCCCACGAGGTAGAGCACACCAAGGCCCCACCTCCATGCCCCCATTTCCCCTGCCCCCCAAGGTGGAGCACGCCAAGGCCCCGCCTCCATGCCCCCCATTCCCCCGTCCCCCCGGCAAGGTGGAGCACCCTGAGGCCCTGCCTCCATGCACCCTGTCCCTCAGTCCCCCCAAGGTGCAGCACCCCAAGGCCCCACCTCCATGCCCCCTGTCCCCGCCACCCCCCGAGGTGGAGCACCCCTAGCTGTAACTGGGAGGCTTACCAGCCTGTCTTCCCCCCAACCCTGCTAGACTGTGAGCCTCTTGGGGCAGGGACATGGCTACACAGGGCCAGCAGAGGTGACCCCAAAACTTGGCTGGTGGATTGAAAAAATACAGCAAACTTCACCCAACATGCATTGGATTTACTTGAGTTCCAAATGTGTTTGAGGAAAGGAGAGAATAACCATCCGGGACAGCTGTTGCCCTTTCTCCACACAGGAGCTGGGGGAGCCAGGTCTGCGGCCCCCTTAGCCATCTGTCGGTCTTGGGGGCAGGGCTGCCTGAGAAGGGGCTTTTGGGGTTTCCACATCTCCCCATCTTGTCCACTGACCTCCTCCAGCACCTGCCCCAGTCGCTCCTTGCGGGAACCTCCTGGGGCCCCAGGACGGAGACCACTCCCAGGCTCTCCACACCCTGGAGCCAGCCCTAGGCCCACCTTCCTCCCCGCTGGGGCCATGCCCTCCATGCACCCCGGCCCAGGGTGGGGCCAGCCCCCAACACAGACACTGCACCCAGGAACACATGAGCATCTGGTCCACGCCCTCCGGCGGGCCCTGGTCCAGGCCTCTCACATCCAGCCCCAGGTGCCCAGGTGGCACCCTCCCTCCCTGGGCTGATGGATGGTGACTTCCTCCACCCAAGCCACCACCTGCCCCCTTCTCTGCGCCTCGGAGCCGGAAATGTGGACACCTGGTTTGGGCAGCACAGGGACCAACCAGCCGGACACAGGCCCTGAGAAGCTGCCAAATGAATCCCAGCCCATCCTGCAGAGGACAGTGCTGGTGACCTGCCTCGCCTTCCAATGTCACAGTCCCAAGAACCGTCAACACGGCCACCCTGGCCAAGGCAGGGCTCCCACCTCGGTATCAGGACAGGACAGGGCAGGCTGGCCCCTGGGTCGGGGTGCAAGGACCCAGAGCGGCCACCAGAGGGCAGCGCAAGAGCACGCGGGAGCCCCATCCTGGGCACCAGCCCAGGATCCAGACAGCAGCCTCTGGGGCCCCCAGGCCACCAGCCCGCCCCGCCTGACGCTGTAGCCCACTCCACACACACGGCCACGGCTCCTGTTTTATTGCCTTCGGGTGTCCGGAGCACCTGACTGCCCCGGGGTCTAATAATTTAAGGTGCCGAGAACAGGTCAGGACAAGGGGTCGCAAAAGAGGGGCTGGGGGCCCAGTGGTTACAAAATATACCCCCACCCCACAACAAACAGGCTAGAGGAGACCAGCCTGGCTGGTGTGGGAGGGGGCGGGCAGAGGGCGCCCGACCCACCTCAGAGAGACAGAGCCACGGCCAGCGCCGCCAGAGGGAGTGGCGGAGACAGGAGAAAGGGCCCAGAGGCCACCCAGGGCCCGAGGGGCTCCTCGCTCCTCGGACACAAGTGCACGGAGGTGTCGGGGAGGAAAAGGCGATGTGGGGCCAGCCAAGGCCTGGAGCCCCTGCTGGGCTGGGCAGAGCAGGGCTGGGCAGGGCCTCCAGGTCCAGCCAAGGTCCTGACCTACATGACGACCAGGCCCAGCCAAGGTCCTGAGCTACATAACGCAGCACCGGGTCTTGTGCGTGTGTGGGTCTTTGAACCGCAGCCTCTGTTTGGGCCGGTATTTCTCCAGGTAGGTGAGCTGCTTGCTGTTGATGGCTCCGCGGCGCTTCCTGGGAAGAGGGGAACAGGAACAGAGATCATCCAAGGACCTGGCTCGGCCATCTCACCTGCCCCAGGGAGCTGGAATCTGAGAGTGCAGTGGGCTGGAGTAAGGCCTTGAGGCTGGCCAAGCCCCTCCTGTCCCAGGGCCTTGGCACGGCTGCTCCCAGAGTCACAGTCACCCTTTCCTGGCCCCCTGCAGCTCACCCCTGCTTGCCTTCCAAACTCACCAAAGCGCCACCTCCTCCAGGCTGACTCTGGGCTCCCTACGGCCCCCAGGCTTCCCTAGCTCGGTAGGACCCACCCCAAGGCCATGAGCAGACAACAAGGGTGGTGCCTGGGCACCTCCACCATCCAGGAAGGGGGGCCTGTGAGTAAGGGAGGGGCTGAGCCCAGAATTCCAGCCCAGCTGCGCGACCTTCCCTTACAACAGGGACCTGGGCTGCATGCTCACCCTGTCCCCACCATCCCCACCACCTGGTCCTTACAGCGGGGACCTGGGCTATGCGCTCACCCTGTCCCCGCCACCTGGTCCTTACAGCGGGGACGTGGGCTGTGCGCTTACCCTGTCCCCGCCACCGGGTCCTTACAGCGGGGACCTGGACTGTGTGCTCACCCTGTCCCCGCCACCGGGTCCTTACAGCGGGGACCCGGACTGTGTGCTCACCCTGTCCCCACCATCCCCACCACCTGGTCCTTACAGCGGGGACCTGGGCTATGCGCTCACCCTGTCCCCGCCACCTGGTCCTTACAGCGGGGACCCGGACTGTGTGCTCACCCTGTCCCCGCCACCTGGTCCTTACAGCGGAAACCTGGGCTGTACGCTCACCCTGTCCCCGCCACCTGGTCCTTACAGCGGGGACCCGGACTGTGCGCTCACCCTGTCCCCGCCACCTGGTCCTTACAGCGGGGACCCAGACTGTGCGCTCACCCTGTCCCCGCCACCTGGTCCTTACAGCGGGGACGTGGGCTGTGCGCTCACCCTGTCCCCGCCACCAGGTCCTTACAGCGGGGACCCGGACTGTGCGCTCACCCTGTCCCCGCCACCTGGTCCTTACAGCGGGGACCCGGACTGTGCGCTCACCCTGTCCCCGCCACCTGGTCCTTACAGCGGGGACCCGGACTGTGCGCTCACCCTGTCCCCGCCACCTGGTCCTTACAGCGGGGACCCGGACTGTGCGCTCACCCTGTCCCCGCCACCTGGTCCTTACAGCGGGGACCCGGACTGTGCGCTCACCCTGTCCCCGCCACCTGGTCCTTACAGCGGGGACTGGACTGTGTGCTCACCCTGTCCCCGCCACCTGGTCCTTACAGCGGGGACGTGGGCTGTGCGCTTACCCTGTCCCCGCCACCGGGTCCTTACAGCAGAAACCTGGGCTGTACACTCACCCTGCTCCCGCCACCTGGTCCTTACAGCAGGGACCTGGGCTATGTGCTCACCCTGCCCCGCCACCTGGTCCTTGACCACATGTACCTGGCTGGGGTGAACAGGAAGACTTCCTGGAGAGGATGCTGCAGCCACACCTGAGAGGCCCTGAGGTGACAGGCGTTGAGGGGCGGGGGCTGCCCACCCAGCGCCTCTGGAGGCTCATCCATCCCCACCTGCCATGACCTCAGGCGTGGCCACAGGCTGGCCCTGGCCAAGGAAGTGGGAGCAGCAGTAGCGCGAGGAGTCTCTGCCCAGCAAAGCTGCAGGTGCCCCGTGTGGCTCCACCGTGCTCGTTTCCTCGCCCAGCAGCCGGCACACTGGGGAAGGCGCAGCCCTCAGCCACGCCTCCGGGTAGGGCCCCCACCAACAGACACGCAACAGGGGCAAGAAACGCCCGTGCTGTTCTGAGTCGTTGGGGTTCAGGCCTGGCTGTTTCCGCAGCATGGCCCAACCTGTCCTGACCAGCGCAGCCTCAGGTGCGGGGAGCCACACAGCAAAAGCCACAAGGGAGAGACAAGCCCTTGCTCGGTGAGACGTGGGGTGGGGAGAGAACCCGGGGAAGGTGTGCACCCGCATGTGTGAGAGTGCATGTCATGTATGAGTGCACACGTGTGTACATGCCTGAGTGCATCCATGTGTGTCCATGTGTGCAAATACCCGCTTGTCTGTATGTGCCTGTGTTCACACACCTGCCTGTGAGTGTGTGCCTGCGTATGCCTGGGTCTGTGTGGGCACACATGTGCTTGTGAATGTGTGCCTGTATGACCCCCATGCGTGTCTGTGTGTGAGCGTGCACATCCCATGGTCCCCAGGGAGACCTGAGCACCTGCAGGCCACGCTCTCGCACAGACCCACAGGGCGGGCCACGCTCTCGCAGACCCACAGGGCGGGCCACACTCTCACACAGACCCACAGGGCCAGCTGGCATGGCTGGGAACAAGCCTGCCTCTGGGAGGAAGAGATGGCCCCACCAGCCAAGCCTGTCCGAGGAGTACCACAGGTGTGTCACACTCACGGGCACACACATGGTGGGCTGGGCAGGGGCAGGCTTCAGGTGCCGCATCCGTTCCTCCAGAGTTGGCCCTGCCATCCCGGCCAGACTCCCCCAGGACCCCCTGGGCAGTGGGCAGATGGCAGCCCTCCCCAGGGAGGCCACCAAGTGACAGGGATGGGGCAGGCGAGCTGGCCTAGAAGCCTCTAAGGAGGGCGGGGAGGGGCTGAGCTGGAGAGCTCGGGGTTGGGGGGAGGGGTGGTGAGCAGCTAGACTCAGAGTAGTCCTGAGACACTAGCCCACTGTCAGCGTCCCTGGGGGTGGACACGGTGTGGTGTGGGGTTTCAGGTTCTAGTTTTTCATGGAGGGACTGAACTGGCTGGCTCTGGGGGTCCTTCCACCCCCGTCAGGATGGCTGCGACAGAAGGAGCTCTGTCTGTGGAGGGCGGGCAGGACGGCGTGGCGGGTGGCCTCGCTGTGTCCCTGTGTGGCTGCATGGTCACTCGGGGGCTGCTGTCCCCACCCATCAGAAACACCTCAGGCTTCCCCGTTTCTGCAGCAAGGCCCAGCTTGTGCTGATCGACGCAGCCTCAGAGCGACGGAACCACACAGCCAATGCCGCCACCCTTCGTGGGCAGCCGGATCTCCCCTCCCCCAGCGCTCACAGCCCACCCCACCACCGCGGCCACTCACTGGCGGATGAACTGGATGGCGTCCTCGTACTTCATCCCGCTCTCAATAAGGGCCAGCGCCACAAGGACTGGAGCCCTGGGGGCAAACAGCAGGGCGGGGGTCATCGGAGCCTGCGCACCCCTGTCCCCTTGGCAGGGCACCTGCTGAAGATGCAGGGCACGGGGGCCCAAGGGGCCCAGAATCCCCCCTGCCTGAAGCTCCCCCATGGAGGCCACAGCCTCACAGCCCAGCCTGAGCACTGGGTCTAAATCCTGGCTCCCTCCTAGGCAACCTCTCTGTGATCTGCTGGGGGAGGGTTAAATAAGAGCTGGCGGGTGAAGTGCTAAGAGCCGGATCCATGCCTGCTATCAACTCTGCTCGCCTGGGTCTCCCTCTGCAGATGGGGGTGTCCCACTGGTCATGTCATCCGATCCCAGCTGCCATTCTTCCTCCCGTTCTCCCAGCAGGGAGTCTGAGGCCCCAGCTGTGTGTGGGGGGATCTTTGTGTCTGGAGAGGGGGACGGCAGCCCTTTCCTACACAAGATGTCAGGATGGTTTCAACCATAGCAGGAAGAAGTTGGGTTAGACTTTGGGAAGCACTTCCTCTCTGTGATGCTGGGAGAGGACCAGTCTGGGAGCCCCAGCACTAGGGGCATGGGCCTCCTGGGAAGGTCGCGTGGACGTGTGTTCAAGACCCACATCCAAAAGCGAGGCTGTCAGACCACGAGATGCCCAACCACCTGACATGGCGAGCCCTACCCCGCCCCGACACTCACCGGCCCAGGCCCGCCACGCAGTGCACAGCCACGCAGCTGCCGGGGGCCTCACAGAACTTGGCCTTCACCAGGCTCAGCCAGTCTTCCACTACCTTGCCGGGCGGGGGCGCCCCATCGTCAAACGGCCAGTCCTACGGAGGGAAGCAGACATGAGGACCCCCGGCTGAGGGAGGGTAGAGAGGCGGCTCTGGGGCTCAGGCGAGGAAAGGGAGCTCTGAGAGGCAGAGGGTGCCAGGAGCCCACTAGGGTGGGGGCAGCAGACCCAGAGGGCACACAGGAGGGGCACAGCTTGCCTATGGGCACCCCATGGTGAGTGCTTCAGACTCCTCATCATTCCCTGTACACTGCAGCTATCCCCTCCTCCAGGAAGCCTTCCTGGACCACCCCACCCCTTTCTGAATAGAGCCTGCTCCAGAGTCGCACAAATCCTAATCCCCACACCTGTCAGCCCGAGCTCTGGTTCTGGGGTCACAATCCCTCACGCCTGTGTGCCGGTGGCAGCCTGAGAGGTTTTGGGTCGGCTGGTGCAAAGGGTCTCATCCCCTGTGCTGGCATGCAAAGATGGCTGGCACATGCCACACACAGCCCAGGTGCCAGGAAGGACTGAAGACAGGGCTGTGGGGCGAGACAGGGCCCACATTTCTGAGGGCAGGACTCGAAACAGGCGGTTCCACCGGGCCCCGGCCCATTGCTCCTGGGGGTTAATTTGGTCTTGGAAGATGACCTGTGCTTCCCACTGTCCCGTCCCCCAGCGCCCTAGATCGGTGGGCAACGTGAGTCTTCCTAGGGGAGGGCCCGGGCCAGGGCGCTGCAGTAGGAGTGGACACGTTTCAGTCTTGGGAAGGCGGGTTCATGCAGGGACTGTGCCAGGCATGGGGCTGTCTGGTACCAGGGAGAGCCCGCTGGGCCCACTGAGGCAGACACACAGCCCTCGGGGGCATCTCACCCCTCCCCAGCCTCCAGG
The DNA here is from genome assembly GCF_000001405.40 of Homo sapiens. Lineage (NCBI taxonomy): Eukaryota > Metazoa > Chordata > Mammalia > Primates > Hominidae > Homo > Homo sapiens. The sequence continues at coordinate 92,659 of NW_025791786.1, read as the reverse complement.
CAGGGCAACTCCTAGAGACAACCGGTGTCACGGCTACTTACGTCTGACCCCAATCCCTCCCGCTGCTGTGGAAGGGGAGGGAGGGTGTGGGCGCACCCCGTGCGAGAAGCGGGGACATGCCTTTGCCTCCCATTCTTCCAAGCAGCCTCGCTTTGAGGTGAGGAACCCAAGGCTCGGAGTGACCTGCAGGGTCGCAAGGCTGGGGAGGGCAGAGGCGGGACGCAGCCCAAGGCCTGTCTGACCCCAAACCGCCAGCGCTGCCACCATTCCAAACCGCCAAGCTGAGGTCACAAAACTGCAACCCCAGCCAAAAGCAGAGTCCTGGGATGAAAAGCAGTGACTGAGGGGTGCTCCGCACTGAGGAGACTGAGGCCCAGGCGCAGCTGGGCAGGCCTGCACCAGGGGGGCAGTCGTCCACCGGGCCGGGGGTGGACCCCCCTGGGGCTGGCTCTGGGCCTGCAGCTGCTGTGGCCCACCCCCCCAAGGATATCGCAGCAGAACCGCCCCACCCCCCGCCCAGACCTGGGTCCCCAGGGCCAAAGAAGCCGAGGAAACTGCCCAAGGGCCCTCCCCAGGAGCCTGCTGCCTGGCAACAGGGCCCCAGCCGCCCAGGCAGCAAGACTGAGATGCACCCAAGACAGGCCCAGAGGAGGGCCTGAGACAGGCAGAGGAGCCCACCCGCCACCTTGGCCGATGCACCAAGCATGTGCCACCCCTGCCTGGCGAACCGTGCTGGCCCACCCTAGAGACAGAAAGACGGGTGCGCAAGGGTGACTTTCTTGAGGTCACACGGCCCAACACCCTGGCCTTCCCTTGATGTACCCAGACACACACGTGGCCCAGGCACAGACATGCCCAGGGCTGCCACAGGAGGGGCACCAAACCCTCTGCGCAGGCCCGGAGCCCCCCGCCCCACCCTCCCCCGGTGGCAGCAGTGACTAGGGTCCCCGTGGCGCGCGCCTCACCACAACGGTGATGCCATCCTTCTCCAGCGGCGTTTTGTCATAGGTCACTTCACACACACGCACCACAGTGGTAGCCCCGTACTTCTTCAGGTCCTGGGGGTGGGAGGACGGAGGAGGCAGGGCTGGGCTGGGGCTGCAGGGCTCAGGGGGCAGGACCCACTCACCAGGGCTCCCAGGGCACAGCTGTGTCCCCCACAGTCACCCAGGACTTGGACATGTCCCCTCAGACCTCTCGGGGTGGAGCCCTGTCCCCTCAGTCCCCTGGGGCAGGGTCATGGCCCCTGAAGCCCCCAGGGAAGGGCATGTCACCCTCCAGCCAGGCAGACCCTGATGCAGTGAGGTCCACCAAGAGTGGACTTCAGGCTCCACTACTGGTCGAGGTAGTGTCTGGCTGTCGAAGAGCCTGTCCTAGGTCCCTTGGGCCACCCAGCAGAGGCAAAGGTGTCCCCACCTACATTCACGGTAACTGGCAGCTGGGACCCCAGCTGCCCAGCACACCACTCCCTCCTCTGGGGTGCTCAGGACCCCAGATCTACCAGCAAGGACATTTCTTCCAGAAAAGCTACTGGGTCCCCACAGCAGGAACTGGACTCCCCAGCCCACGTGTGAGCCCCTGCATCCGAACAGCGACCCCAGCTGAGCCGCAGGGATGGGTCCAGTTTTTAGGGTCTAAGAGGGGCGGGCATCAGCTGGGGCGCCTCAGAGCAGGGAGGGTGGGCACCGCTCAGATGGCAGCCAGGAGGAAGCTGGGCCCTGTACGCCAGCAGGGAAGCCCCACACGACCAGGGAAAAGGTGGTGGTAGTTCACAGCCAGGCCGATAGTTATACCCCCACTGCGGAGGATCCACTCCACAGGGGTCACGTGCGGGGGCTGTTCCCACCCCACCTGCTCTCGTAGCTATTTTGGGAGGGGTGAGGAATCAGCTGATGGGTCTTGCTGGTCACGGGACAGGGACCTGGAACACAGAGAGGCCAGCACCCAACTATCTGAGAATGCAGGGAGCAGGCAGGGTGCTGGGCTCTGTGGCCATGGGGTACCTCAGAGGCCCTCTGCACCCTCAGCAGAGGGAATGGCCACCCAGCCCACGGCTCAGCCCTGGCCCTGGTCACAGGCTGAGCCCTTCCTGATCCTGGTCACACACTGAGCCCTGATCCTGGTCACGTCCTGAGCCTTGATAGTCACACACCTCTGAGCCCTAATCCTGATCACGTGCTGAGCCCCCAACCCTGGTCACACATTGAGCCCTAATCCTGGTCACATACCGAGCCTTGATCTGGGTCACACACTGAGCCCTGATCCTGGTCAGACACTAAGCGTTAACCCTGGTCACAGGATGAGCCCTCCCTAACCCTGCTCACCTACTAAGCCTCAATCCTGGTCACACACTGAACCCTGATCTTGGACACACACTGAGCTTCGACCCTGGTCACATACTGAGCCCTGATCCCAGACACACACCAAACCCTGGCCCTGGTCACACACTAAGCCCTGATCCTGGTCAAACACTGAGCCCCAACCTTGGTCACATACTGAGCGCTAATCCTGGACACACACTGAGTCCCAACCTTGGTCACATACTGAGCCCTGATCCTGGACACACACTGAGCCTCAACCCTGGTCACACATTGAGCCCTGATCCCAGACACACACCGAACCCTGACCCTGGTCACACAGAGCCCTGATCCTGGTCAAACAGTGAGCCCCAACCTTGGTCACACACTGAGACCTGACCTTGGTTACAGACTTAACCCTGATCCCAGTCATATTCTGAGGCCTCACCCTGGCCACTCACCGTGCTGTTCTCGCCAATCTTTCTGTAGATGCTGCTGTTATCTCAGGGGTCTCAGCTGCGAGAGGGACAGCCATCTTCTGTAGGGCACCTGGCTCAGTGTCCAGGGTCCAGGCTCCCTGATGGCAAGGTGCCCAATGCCTCCTGCTGCTCTACAGTTCTTAATGCCCTCTCACGCCCAAATCTGTTTCATTATGACAAGACCATGATGGCTTATCTCATGTCACAGGGGAAAGGACTCAGCCATAAATGACCCTGCACACAGCTGCAGCCTCTCACACAGCCTGGCACAGTCAGAGGCTCTGTCAACGGCCCCGCACACAACTGCAGACGCTGCAAACGGCCCCAGGCCTGCAAACAGCAGGGCGTTCTGCAGAGGCCAGGCTCCTCCAGGAGGCCATGCAGGTCGCTCCAGACTCCACTCCCAAGAAAGCTTCTGTAAACGCATCTCGTCCCATCTGCCAGGGTTGCCAGCGGCAGGTATCTCTGCTGCCTCTCCAGGGCACAGTGGTCCCTCCCTCCTGTGGTCAGCGCTGACCCTTGCTCAGTCCCTCCTCACACAGAGATCTGGGCCCTGAAGCCCCTAGTCCAGCCTGGTCTAACCTGAGGCCTCATCCAGAGCCCAGCAACATCTGGGACAGCAAAGGGCTCGGGAGGGCCCCAGCCCAGGCCACGGCTGAGCACGCACAGCCTGGTCCATGTATCCCCCTGCCTCACCCCCTGCCTCTATCCACACAGCGTGGAGTCCCTCCTATCACACGCCAGCCCCCTGCAGGCCTCCCAGGGGACCCCGTTGATCCCCCAACACCCTCAACCCCAACCCCCGGGGCACCCCCATCTCCCTCCTCCAGGATCCTGTAACAGGCGACTGGGCTTTGTTCCAAGGCTGTGAGCCCTGTCTGGCCAGCCGGGGCTGGGGACCCCTCTTGCGAGGCCTGAGGGCAGCTCAGCCGGGCTTCCCAGACACCTGGGCCACCTGCCTGCCACACCTCCGTCTCCACTCACCTCAATGAAGGTGCTGAGCGTGGCGTTGGTGGGGTTGTGGGTGATGAGGAAGCGCATGTGTTTGTAGCTCACCTCCACCGGGGCCGGGCGGTTCATCCGAGCCATGGCGCCTCCCGACGGGCCCGGCAGGGCAGAAGGGACTGCAGAGAAGGCTGGGGACACGACCTGAGAAGTCCCCACACACCCCCAAAAAATGAGGAGAACGAGATCCCTGTGCTTGTCCAAGAGAAACGAGATTTAAAAACCCACCCCCATACCCCGCACAAATATTGTGCAAATACTTGGGTGTGGGGGAGGAAGCTGCCCACTGTTTGGATAATTAAAAAAGAAAACCCAACTCTTAAAAAAGAAAAGGAACAAAACAGCCCGCCGCCCCCCCCAACCCAACCAAAGTAAAGCGGGCAACTCCAAACTCCCGTCTCTCAGAGCTGGATAGTCATAAAGAGGCAAAAAATAAAAAGAACAACCAAAAAAGCTCAGCAAAGAAAACTTAAAAACTCAAAGTGAACCCGGCCGCCAAGCAGTGTCCAGAGCTGGACCCCACACCGGGGGCGCCCTCTCCACATTGGTGGATGGGCAGACAGCCCCCTTCACTCAGAGGTGGGCCCCAAGCCCCCAAGGGCCAGAGGAAGAATGAACTTGAACTGAACCAACTCCAGCTGCCTTGGGCCAGGGGTCACGGGCAGTGGCCGTGGGGACAGCGGCCTCTGACGTGTGGGGCCTGTGTCACGTTACCCCATCGGGGTACGGTGAGTCCTGGAGTGGGGCAGGGGGCTCAGGCGGTAGAGCTGGCCCCAGGCTGGGCAGCAGAGGCCATCGGCAGGCGAGGGCAATGGTGAGAGCCAGTGGCACGGGGACCCCTCAGCAGGAGGCGCGGCGACCCTGGGCGCAGCAGTGCTTAGGGCTGGGCCCCGTGGCCCACTCCATGAACCCCAGGTGGGTCCACAGCACACAGCATCTGTGGGGAAAGACGAAGGAAATGAATAGAAAGGGATCACAGGGGGCCCCGCCTCCCACAAGGGGTTCATGCCTGTCATGAGCCCACAGTCACAGGCGACACCTCTCCCAGAGCCCTCCTCCTGACCATGCTGAGAGAATGACCCTTTTGGGTCTATTTCCTTATATGGGAGCACAAGGAAGCACGGCTCCTGCCAGGACTGACCCAGGGCCCAGAGGCGACAGGGTAGCCACCACACAGCCAGCAGGGCATGACGGAGGACAGAGGGGACAGGGATTTCAGGGACACACACACCCCCGAGGACATGATGAACCCCAGCACACAGATGACAGATCCCTCTGTGGGGACAGAGGCCGAGTTCCTAAGAAGCCTGAGCCTGGCCCCTGCCCACCTGCTGTGATCTGCGGAAACTCCACCCCAGGACAGCTGCCCTCTCCTCTTCCGATTCTCAGCCACTGTGAACATCTGAGCCCAGGTGTCTCTGGGTGGCCCATCCTCAGGGAATGGGGCCCAGGCACTCGGTCAGTGCTGCCAGCACAGGGAGGTGAGGGGCCTGGCCCCACACGCGGCCGTGGGCCACCCTAATCGCCTCTTGCTTTCTGCAGAAAGTCTCCTGCCTGTCAGCAGCCCCCTGTCCACCAGTGTCCCCCCGCCACTGTGTCTCCACTGCTCACACAGGTCTCAGCCAGGCTCGGGGATAAACAGGCCAGCTCTGCCCCTCCAGGAGCTCAGGGAGGCGGGGACAGAACACGCCAATGGGCCAGCCATCAGGCACACATGCCAAGGTGGTGACAGCACAGGTGGCCAGGAGTGGGTTCACACCATGACAGGGCCCTGAAGAGGGGAGGCGGCAGGGGGGGCCACAGCAACCCAAGGCACCTCCACGCCTGCCTCTCTCCCTTTCTGGGTCTCATGACCCCAAAGCTCCCAGGCAAAGGGGTTCCAGGAGCACGCAGCCCCCTTCCCTCTCTACGGAAGGGCTGGGAGGCCTTGAGCAAGGTGCCGGCCTCTTTGTTACCCCATGAGCACGATGAGGGGTGACACAAGTGACCCAAGCTGTATTTGGGCACTGCTGCTGAGGGGTCCCCGCACTGCTGGCCCTGGCTGTGACCCAGCTGTTAGCAGACTCTCCAGCCCCCTAGACTCAACCCAAGCCCGGCCCTGTCACTACTGCCTGCTACCCAAGGAAAGGCACTTCAGGGCCCCTCGCCCAGCAGAGCCCTCCATTCCCCAACCCACCCCCTCTCACCTGTGCCCCTGCCCCAGCCCCAGCACCCCCTTCCCAGCTGCCCACCAGGCAGGCTGGGCCCTTGGAGCTTCAGCCCAGGTGCAGGTAGGGCTTGAGGCCTGGGCCCCTGGACTCAGAGGGTGGCTACCTGGGACAGTGGGCTCCTCCCTGCCTGCCCTCCACACCCTGGGTGGCAGCCAGTGCTCATGGGCTCAGAGCAGCCGCCACACCTCAGGCTCTGTCCACTGCATGGTTCTGGGAAGGTTAAAATGGGCGGTGGGTGTCAGGCGCAGTGGCTCACTCCTGTAATCCCAGCATTTTGGGAGGCCAAGGCGGGCGGATCACCTGAGGTCAGGAGTTCAAGACCAGCCTGACCAACATGGAGAAACCCCATCTCTACTAAAAATAAAAAAATAAAAAATGAGCCAGGCATGGAAGTGCATGCCTGTAATCCCAGCTACTCGGGAGGCTGAGGCAGGAGAATCGCTTGAACCCTGGAGGCAGAGGTTGCAGTGAGCCGAGATCGCTCCATTGCCCTCTAGCCTGGGCAACAAGAGCAAAACTCCGTCTCAAAAAAAAAAAAAAAAACCGGTGGTGGGGTGGGACCCCCAGAAGGAGGTAAAGGTGGAGACAAGGATACTGTCCCTGGTCCCGCCAGTCCCCACCTTGCCCGACTGGAGGGAGCACAGGCTCTGAGTGTGGGTGAGGGAAGCCACCACGTGCTAACAGCACACAAACACCTGGGTCCCTCTTGGGGCAGCAGGATGTCCCTGTGTGTGTGCACACGGGAGCCGAGCTCATGTTTACAGAAAGAAAGGAAGAAAAGCACCAGAGAAACCACAGTATTGGGCCTCTCCCTGAGGGGCTGACCAACCCCTCACACCTACAGCTGCCAGGGACCCAGGAAGACCCCACAGGCACCAGCACGTGGCCTGGACCTGCTGCCTAGTGGCCCTGCACAGGTCCTCAGGGCTGCAGGCTACTGGGAGGGAGGAGGCTCCGAACCACCCCACACTACCCCCCACTGAAGGCCTAAGGATGCCACACATCTGCCGGAATCAGGGGGTTAGCCTGGGCTACGCTCAGGGGTCACAGCCCAGGCTAGAATGGGGTTAGGGGTCCAGGGAGAGGCTGGACCAGGGTCTTGCCACACATCCCACTTGTCTCTGCAGCCTAGGGCCCCTACCCCTGCCCCAGGTGAGAGCAAAGCAATGATGCCCTGGCACCACTATGTGGCTCTGCCCTGCCTGGTGGCTGTCCCCCAAGGGAGAAAACCCCTCCATAACCACACGCCCCCAGTGAGGTCACCAGGTAGGGCCCTGAGAGCAAGGGTTAAGGATCCCCAGGGATGGGCACTGAGAACTCCCTGAAGCCAAAGCCTCAGGCTTCCCATCTGCGAAATGGGGACAGGTTGCCCCTGCCTCCATGTGTCCTGAGTCGCTACCACCCCCACCAGGCCCGCGGCCCACAGCACGGGGACCCACTGGCAGCCGTGGCCCCTCTTTCCCTCCTGCTACCTCCTTCCCTCCTGCTACCAAGCCCTGCAGAACCCTTCCCAAGATCTGGCTCAGCCTCCTCGGGCCAGCAGGCCCAGAGCCCTCAGCTATTTCTCAAGACCCTTTAAGGGAGAGTCCATCCTTGTCCCTGTTTGCGAGATGAGGAAACAAGCCAGGGAGAGGGGAGAACATTCTCCACCAGGGCCACACCAGGCGTCCAGTTAACTGGGTTCTCTCTGGCTCAAATCTAGGAGGCAGGAACAACACGCAGCGCCCTGCACAGAAGAGGAAATCGAGGTTCAGGGAGGCTACCGCCCTCCTTCCCGATGGCACAGCAGCTTAAGAAGTTTGAATCCAGCCCCCGCTTCAGACAGGGCGCCCCCTGTGATTTTGGGGGAGGAGGCTGGAGGCCCGGGGCTCAGCGGGTCTCAGGAGAAGTAAGCTGCGCCGCGGTCAGGGCTGAGGCGGGCGCTCTGGGGAGTCCCGGGGAACCAGTCGCGGGTGGGGTCGTGGTAAGGGGCGCGGCCCCCTCCCTGGGTGCCAGCGGGGCTCCCGCCCAGCCCTCCGGAGGGCGCCACCTCCTCCCCGGCGGGGCTGGGGTCCCGGAAGGCCTGGGTCCGCCGCGTCCCCACCTGCCAGGCTCACCCGCGCCGCAGGCGTCCCACCGCCTCCATACGCGCCGGCCTGGCGGTGCCCACGGTGCTGGCCCTGGGTCGGGGCGCCGCCCCTCCGCCGCGGAGCCGGCTCCAGGCGCTGCCGCCACCGCCGCCTGCGGCTATTTATAGCGCCCGGGCGTCACGTGGGGGGCGTGACCGGCGGGCGACCCGGCTGCCGGGGGCTCCCACACCTGCCGCCTAAATATAGCCGCGCCCTGCCCGGGAAACAAAGGGGCCGCGCAGGGCGGGCGCGGGGAAGAGGAAGCCCAGCCAGGAAAGGGAAGTGCGGGGCGCGGCGAGGGCCGGGGGCGCTGCCGCCCGGGACCCCTCCTTCCTCCCGCCGGCCGGCCCGGCGCCCTCTCCCGGTGCGCGCCCTCCCTAGAACCTCGGAGCTCCCCCTGGCCCCCTCATGGGGCTGCACGGGCCTGTGGGCTGGGGGTCCGGAGGGCAGGAGCCGCCGGGCCGCGCTCCTGGTGGGGAGGCCTGGACAGAGCGCGCCCAGCTTTGGAAATGGAAATGCGGCCCCGCCGTGCAGGTGCTGTCCTGCACCCTGAGGAGGAGGGCGCCCGAGTCCCTCCAGTTCAGACCCCCTGCCCAGCCCACCAGCCCCACCGCCCGGGCACTCCTCCATGAATTTACTCAGCACCCACCGTGCCAGACACTGCTGTCCCCTCACTTAATCCTCACGACCCCGCTGTGGCTGGCTACGCTGGTCTCTCCTAGCGTACTGGTGAGGAAACTGAGGCACTGCAACGAGGAACACCCTGAGGTAACACCGGCAGGCAGGATTCAGCCAGGCGGCGGGCTCCACAAACTCTGAGGCTCGGCACTGATGCCCCCTCTTCCAGGAAGCCCTCCCAGACCCTCTCAAGCAAACGCCTCCCTGCGACTCCTGGCTCTGCCTCCTGGGAGCATTGTGCCGGGAACTCATGTGCTCCCCAGACTATGAACCCCAGGGATGCAGCTGGCATCACCACCCACTCTGTGCCCGCCCTGGCCACCCAGGGCCCTCAGAGCAGGGTGGAGCGGCAAGGGTGGTACCCCCAGCACAGGGTCCCTGGAGGTGTGGCCCTGCTTGCAGCTCTCAAACAACCTGGTCCCTGCAATCTGAGGTCATCAAGGGGCCCAGCTGAGAGCACGACCCCCCCTCCCCCTGCCAGGCTCTCCCCACCCACACTTCCAGAAAACATCACCATCAGCCTGGCCCAGCTGTGCCGGCAACCCTCGCCTCCTCCCACCTCCAGGTGGGCAAGCAGGCTGGGGAGCAGAGGACAGGAGGGCTGTGCCCAGTCTGAAGGGCCCCATGGGAGCCTCCACCCAAGGGCACACCAAGCCAGGTAGCCCTGCCTGCCAGCTCATGGACCCCCAAGGGTGTGAGCTCCCTGGCAAGGGCACCCACCCACGTGGGTGCACCCAGCTCCACAGGGAGACGCTAGGCTCTGACTCCTGCCCAGTGCTCTCAGCTCACCACTTCCAGCAGCGTCTCCCTGAAGGTTGAAGGCAAGAATGGGTCAGCTTCAGGGACTCTGCCCCACCAATCTCCAACCTCAGCCACTTTCTAAGGATACCAGGCTAGACACTGCATTCCACAAGCAAGACACACACCTGCCACACTGCACTGACAAACCATAACAGCACAGAGAAGCTGAGCAACCCTTCTGAGTCACACAGCCAGAAGGCAGAAAAACCACATTTGGAGCTGGGTCTTGCTGCCCCCGAGACCCTGCTTATCCCCACCCTAGCCCTCTGGGAGAGAGGACCTCTGGGGTAAGCTGCTCCTGCCCCCCAGCCTCAGTTTTCTTATCCATAAAAGGGGTCTCAGAGTGAAAGTTCCCATCAAGCTCTGTGATGCTACAACCAGACAGAGCCCGTCGCCTCTGGCGCTACAAAAGTGGACCCCAGCATCCTCATCACCCCCACCCGGGCTCCACCCCCTTGCCTGGGGCCCTCTGGCCGGGCCTGGGAGGCACCTGCTGCAGCTGGCACAGCCCCAGGCCTTTCGGAGAAGTCTATTTATAACCAGGCAGGAGCCGTTCCTGGAATCCTCCCAGAGCGGGCCCAAGTCCGCCCATTGCTAGGGGGGCCAGGAGGGGAGACCCAAGCAGGCCAAGCCCACGCTTGATGCACTAGGACGCCTTCCCGGAGTCCTCCAGGCCCCTGCACTCGGCAGCTCCAAGGGCCCAGCCTCCTCACTGCCACATCCCCCCATGCCATCCCATCCCCTCTCCCCACCCCACCCCACACCCTCTCCCCACCCCACCCCACACCCTCTCCCCACCCCACCCCACCCCAGTCCCCACCCCACCCCATCCCCTCTCCCCGCCACGCCCCCTACCCTTCACCACCCCTGCCCCCTGCCCCCCCGCCCCGCCCCCTGCCCCCCGCCCTCCGCGCACGTCAAAAGGGCCCACCCGGAGTCATGTGGGAGGCGGGGGCGCGGGGCTGGGCACTCCCCCGAAGGATCCCGGAACGCTCCGGCTGGGGCCTCGAATAGGGACCGGGGCCGCAGGGTCCCAGGGCTGCGGCGGGCACCCTGGTCCCGGCCAGAGGGCAGGAGGGTCCCTCCAGCGCTGGCCTGGGCTCTGGGGCCCACGGGGGACAGGGCGGTCCCTAGGGCCCTGTAACAGCGGGAGCGAGCGGGAGGGGGCGGGAGGGGGATGGCGCACGGAGACCCAGGCCCTGTAGTTGGGGTGGGGAAAGACTGGGGGCTGTCCAGGGCTCCGGCCTGTCTCCCCACTGCCTGCTGCAGGCTGGGAAGAGGGTCCCAGGGCCCGTTCCTTGCCGCGCTGGAGGGAGCCTCACTGCATCCCCACCACTTCCACCTGCCCACACAGAAGGGCCCGGACCCTGCAGCCTGCCCCGGCTTCACTCCCAGGTGGCAGCCCTGGGCTCAGCAGGCCCTCACTTCATCCTGTTGTCCCCATTTCCTCCAGGAGGAAGTGCAGGGAGACAGGGGAGGCGACTCAGTGGACCCCACCCAGGCCCCCCGCCACCCACACCCAACCCCCACCCCATATACACAACTTCTAACATAGTTCCTTCCGCAGGAAGTGGGAACTCCACCAGTGGAGGAGGGGCTGTTCCTGCAGTCCAGGGCCCGGGTCACTTGCCCCTCCCCCATCAGGATGCTGCCCTAGGCCTGGTGATATCAGGAGGGGGCGGAGCCCTCGTACCTCACCCTGGAAAGGATGAGGGGGCGTCTCTCAGGCCAGCCCAGCCCCCAGGACTCTACCTCCTGGGGCAGAGAGCGGTCACTAAGAAGTCCACCCTTATCCCTGCTCCCCCCAGCCACCAAGACAGCTGCGCCATAACTCACCACCCCCTGCCTAGGCACCCGATCCACCTGTGCCAGTCTGGGGCTGCCCAACAGTCCCTACCCCCCCCCCAGTCCAGGGCTCTTCCCAAGCTCAGTGCCCGCATTCTCCTCAGCCACCTGCCCGAACCTCTCCTGCTCCTCAAGACCCCGGCCAGGTGCAGAGACTCACACACCTGCCACCAGGCTGCTGCTCCCACGTGCCCTCTGTCTGGCTGCCCTTCTCTCTCCCTACCGGGCCACCTCTTCCAGCCTCCCAGTGAGTGAACCTCCCCTGCCCCAGCCACCTTCCACCACTACAGTCCCAGAAGCCAGGTCTACCCACCAGGCTGGGCCCCCAGACCCTAGGGCCACACTCGGCCCCTTTTGATCTCCCCATGGGAGGATACAAATCTCAGGGGATTATTGTACACAAATGGCCTAATGTCCAGCGAGTGGACAGGACAGCTCCACAATGGCAGGCCAAGTCGGTGGCTCAGACAGGACTCCCAGTCCAGTGCTCATGCCTTACCTCCCAGGATGACTGAGAAGCCAGTGTGGAAACCGCCCAATGGGAAGCTCTGGCAAGCACACACACTGACCTGCATACACAGAGATGTGTGCTCACGTGCACACACACACACACACACACACGCCACAGAAACAGATGACCAGATCAGATGCCTGTGCCGGGAAGATGGGGACCCCATTGCCCCGCAGCAGTCCAGCCCCACGACGCCCACCAGAGCCTCCAGGGACACCGTGAGCCCGAATCCTCCATGTCCTCCTGTCCACACAGCATCTTTACACCAAGAGCCCTGAATCCTCCATGTCCTCCTGTCCATACCGCATCTTTCATCTTGCCTGGAAGGCCTCTGCCCAGGCTGGAAGGAGGATGGCACAGCCACACCAGCTGTGGACCAGTCACTGCCCTCCCTGCGGCAACCCTGACCCATCTTGGAACAGACACAGCTGGACTCCTGAGTGTTTCCAAAGCCATGGCGTCTGTAACATGCAGGTTCCCAGGCCACACCCAGACCAGGTGCCCCACTCACATGCGCACACGTGGCCCCACCTTGCCCTGGGCAGGAGGGAGCCGTGTTCTGACGGCCCTAACCCTCCCTGCCCCCAGCCTCCCACCCCAGAGCTCTGTTATAACACACCTGCCAGCAGCAGCTTCCGTTAAGAGCCAGTCGCTCTGGAGTACGGGGTGTTGGGTCGGAAATTGTGCGGCTCCAGGATTCCAGACAGGAGGAAGCCCACATGAAGCCTGCCCTGGCCCTGGCATTAGGCCTGCATGCCCACGGTCCTGCTGCCTTCCTCCTGGGCCCCATTTAGCCAGTGCCATGCCACCCACATCCAAGGCCCCTGAAGGCCAGTACCCAGAAGTGGGCATGGTGTCCCGGAGGGCATGGAGTTTCATTCGGAGCTCACAGCCTCTGAGAAGGAGCCTCTCCCCGCCCCAGTCCCTGAGGCCCTGCCAAGAATGCAGAGGCCCCCAGCAGGCCCAGAGGAGGCCCCTGATCTGGCCTCCCGGAGAGTTCAGGGCCTCCCTGGCACACCAGGCACAGCCCCTACCCCTTCTGTGCCACACACCAGTGGACCCTCAGCAGACACAGCTGACTCCAGGGCAGGAACCGACCCCCAAGCTCTCCAAGGGTCCGCATGGCCTGATGGTCCCTCCTGCTGGCCGGAGGAGGCTGCCCAGGAAGGTCCTCACCCACCAGCATCAGCCAGAGGCCCCAAAGTGGTCCACAACAGGGGAAGGGCATGAGGCCAGCCCTGAGCCCACTGGGCCTGGCTAAGCCTCCACCCCAGGTGCCCCCTGGGAACTGCAAAACCGTCCCGTGCATGCTGTGTGCCTCTGGGCCCCTCTCCTGAGCTCCCAGACCTTGTTAGTCACCCACACAACATGAGAATTATGAACCCATCACCAGATGAGAATACACAGGAACTGCCCCTGGCAGTGCCCACAGAGTTGTCACAGAGGCTGAGAGGGCAGGGTGGGCAGTGGGCGAGCTCGCTGTGGGAGGGCTCAAGCTAAGCCTGCTCTGCAGAAAGGATCCAGAGTTTGGCTGAATTCCATGTGCCTGCCTGGATGGAGCCAGGCCTTGGGCCCACAGGGCCTCTCCACGGAGAAGAGGCCATGGCTCCTCCTCGGGACCCCTGGACCATCCAGGGGACAGGGCCCTGAGGGCCATGAGCATGCAGCCAGCACTAGGCAGGCAGGCAGCCCCTGCTTGCTGTTCCTGGCATGCCTGACCCCAAACCCAGGAGCAGACTCACACCCCACCCAGCACCTTCACGGGAACAGGAGTTCTGCCCTCTAGCAGGGGAGCCAATCCCTCACGCCCACCCAGCCACCCATGCTCACTTGGGAGGTGGGGAGCTGGGCCGGCCTGTTCCTCCACAGTGGGACCCTGTCAGCAGGGTGTCCAGGAAGCTTGTGGTCCCTGAGGGTGGCTGGACCTTGGGGCCACTTCCACCATACCCAGACGCCCTGGACAGGGCAGCAGGCATGTACACCTCTGCTGTGTCACAGAAAAGGAAGAGCCCACGCTTAGCCACTGCCCAGCGCAGCACCCCCATATACCCATGACGCCCCTCCCTGAACCCAGTGTCCAGTCCCATGGAAGGCGGAGAAGGCCCAAGAACCCCTCTGTGTAGTGGCCTCGCGTGGTGCCCTCAGCACAGGCAATGCCCATGTCCATCCTCAGAGCAGTCCTGGAAGGCGCCCATCACCCCATTTTGTGGATGAGTAAACCGAGGCTCAGGCTGTGCAGTCAGCGAGAGCTCTGAGAGGCTGAGACAGGATTCAGGGCCTACCCAGGGTGGGCACTTTCTCTGCATTTTCTTCTTAAAACAGCCAAGCCCTACACTCCATGTCAGCCCCAGCAGGCGCGGTCACCCTGTGCTCAGTCCCTGGGATCCCTTCCTCTGTGCCACCCAGGGCCCGTGGGGTCGGGGACAGGAAGGGGGATCGAGATCATGGAGCTAGCCAGGGCCACTGGCCGAGGCTCTAGTGGACGCACGTCAGAGGGGCCTGAGGAACCGCGGGAAAGAGCTCTGACCTGGCCTCGGGAGGCCACGTCCAAAATAGCCAGCCCTGCACGGTGAGGGGACTCAGCCGGCATGCACGTAGGCCTCTTGGCCCCAAGCGCTGCCAAGCTGGCTGCGGAAGGTCACAGCTATTTCTGGGCTGGCCCGATGGTGAGACGCAGCCTGGCACCCCCAGAGCCAGTGCACACGGCGCCACTGAGGCCCAGGGGGATAGGGCTACCCCCAGGACACATGGTGGAGGGGCTGGAGGGGCCCGCAGGTTCCCCATGGTGCCTAGATCCTACTGGGGGGACCAGTGCTGATGGCCTTTCCTCTCTGAGCCAGCTCCCTCCCAAAAAGCACGTGCAGTGCTATGAGTGGATTGGTTTCATAGTCACATCACTGGCTTTTACAGGCCACCACCATATGCCAAGCCTTGTGCTGGGCACTTGGGTTGACAAAGAACCAGACCTCGTCCCTGAAACAATCAAGAGGGGGCAGAAAAAGCGGGGCTCGGCCACTGTCTTCAGCTCCTGTGACCCTGGCATACAGGAGGAGGGTGGTTTGTGGCAGGGAGGCTGCTAGGCACACACAGGTCCACCCCATGCACACAGAGGTGCCCCACGCCTTGCCAGCCCACAACGCCAGTGCTGCCAGCACTGACTCAGGCTCCATCTACCCTGGGTCTTGGCCTTCCCCATCTGACAAATGGGGAACCTGAGGCTCAGAGAGGGTGCGAGACTCAGCCAGTGACCCCGGCTCAAAGCTCAGCTCAAAGCCAAGGCAGGTGGGTTCTCTGGGGTCCAGGGGAGGGGACAGCTCCTTTCCACCCGCAAGGCCTGGCCATTGCTCAGCCCATGGCCACTGTCCTCACACAGGGCTGTGTGACCTGGTTCCCCTCCTGGCTCCCCATTGTGAGCTGTGTGATGGGTACATCCCTCAACCTCGCTGTGCCTCAGTGTGCTCATCTGTAGGATGGGTTCGCTGGAAGGCTGTCCTCTGTGCCTCAGTGTGCTCGTCTGTAGGATGGGTTCGCTGGAAGGCTGTCCTTCATGGACCTGCCCTTGGTTTTCTCCTGGGATCTGAGGGACATTATTACCCTTTCCAAGAGGCCTCGCTTGAGTCCCTGGAACACTGGCACTTTGCCAGGTACCCACAGGGGCTGTGAGGACACCGAGCGCCCCAAGAAGACCACAGTTCCCAGCAGGTGCCTCAGAACCCTCAGGGGAGCCTGCGTGGATGGGGCTTCTTCCCCGCAGGGCTTCTTAAAGCCCCTGTTCCTCCACAGATGTGGGGACCTCAGAGCCAGGCAGGTGGCCAGCAGGGCATTTCTGGAATGTTTTTGAAACCAGGCACTAGCAACAATGGTGCCTCACCGAACCCCACCTTGGCAACTCCAGATTGGGCCAGCCCCACTCCCCCAGTCTGGCTGGGAGCCTGGGGGCCGGGGCCTCCCGACTCCTGCCCGTCTGTGTGGCTGTGGGCACTTCTGTGATCCTGGGGCCTCATCCATGACACAGAACCTCAGACAGCCCAGGCCATGGCATGAGGGGGTGGCAGGCAGGCCATGTGGGCTGTGACCGCGGTGACCGTCCGCAGCAGGGGCTGGGCAGAGCCAGGCCTGGTCACCTCCCCGACCCAGGCTGTATGTCCCCATGTTCGTCACAGCCGTGGTGACAGTGGCTTGAGGGTAGCAAGTTTAGCTCCCGGCTGCAGGCATTGGCTGCCATGACAACAGCCAAGGCCAGACTGGATGCCCAGCCCAGGTGGGTGGCAGGCAGGCACTGCCCCAGGGAGTGGGCCCCCGCAGGCACCGCTGGGCACCCAGCCACGGCCCCTCGCCAGCGCAAGCAGGGCAGGAGGGGGCCTGGGTCACATGGTGCATCCTGGGAGCTGGGCACGCTGGGCAGCCTGCACTGCCCGCTTTGAGCACCTGCCCAGCTCCCAGGAGAGAAGGAGGGGAACCATCAGAACCAGCGGACCTAAGGGAGACCTGCTCTCCCAGGCATCTGAAGGCTCAGCAGGCAGGTGGGGAACACACCAGGGAGGGGCCAGAAATCCACAGGCGCTTTCCAGAGGACCTCAGCTCAGAACACATCCTGCCAGCCTAGGGGCTATGTGGAGCCCTCTGCCATCTTATGCCCTGCCTGCACAGCCCCTCAGGGGCTCTGGGCATCGCCGTGGTGCCCAGAAGGGGTGGGCAGGAGGTCGGGCCACAATCACCAGGCCTGCAGGCAGACTGGGTGCCGGGTCCACAGATGGAGGCTCCCATCCCTCCCATCCCCCTGCCCCACCAGGAGCTGCCACCAAATAGCCCTGGACCTGAAGGGTGGATCTGGGGATGGAGGGAGCTCACAGGAGCTGATCCCTACCCCGCCAGCTCCAGGGCTCAGAGACAGCCCCGGGCCAGGAACTTTGCCCTGTCTGGCAGTGCTGTGGCCAGGCCATTCACACGGGCCTGTTGGATGCTGCAGCTCCCAGGCCTCCCCTAGCAGGGCCCAGGGAGGACTCGGGAAAGGCAGCGGTGGGTCAGCACCTTGGGGACTGAGAGGCCCTCAGGCCACACTGCCTTCATGTTGGGGCCAGGGATCCCCAGGGAACCATGCAGACTGGAACCCCACCCTCCAGAATCAAATGCCCCACCAGTCCACCCAGATGAGCAAAGAAAACAGGTTATACACATCAGGGCGTGGTGACACTACACGGCAGCGTGGGTACCTCACAACCTTGTCTGTGCCTTCACTCAACTCCCCAGTGGCAAGGCACTCTGTGAGGGCCGGGGAAGGGCCTTCTCACTCTAGTCTCTAGCGCACACCAAGCTCCTGCCCTGCCCTGAGCCCTGGGTGGGTGCCAGCATCCCTCTGTTCCCCAGCAGCTGGTGACGTCCCCACAGCACTGGGAACCCGGGGGCAGGGCAACGACACTTTCACCCTATTTTACGGACTTCTGAGAGCTGCTCAGGACAGAGTCTGTGTAGGCGGGGGTGCTATCCTAATTTATTTTTTGAGATAAAATTCATAACACATGAAATCCACCATTTTAGTCTTTTTTTTTTTTTTCAGACAGAGTCTCGCTCTGTTACCCAGGCTGGAGTGCAGTGGCACGACCTCAGCTCACTGCAACCTCCGCCCCCGGGTTCAAGCAATTCTCCTGCCTCAGCCTCCCAAGTAGCTGGAATTACGGGCGCCCATGACCACAACCGGCTAATTTTTGTATTTTTAGTAGAGACAGGGTTTCGCCATGTTGGCCAGGCTGGTCCCAAACTCCTGACCTCAGGTGATCCGCCCACCTTGGCCTCCCAAAGTGCTGGGATTACAGGCGTGAGCCACCAGGCCCAGTCATTTTAGCCATCTTAAAGTGTAACCTTCAGTGTTTTTAATATATTCACAGTGCTGTGTAATCATCACCACTAATTCCAGAACACTTCCATCGCCCCCTCCCACCAGCAGTCACTCCACCCCTCCTCCCCCAGCCCCTGGCAACCACAAGTCTGCTTTCTGTCTCTGTGGACTTGCCTGTTCAGGACATTTGCTGTGAATGGCCTCACACACCACGTGGCCCTCTGCGCCTGGTTCCTTTCGCTTCTCCTGGCGTCGTAAAGGCTCAGCCACGGCGCAGCCTGAGTCTGTGCCCGCTCCACCTGTTGGCCGCCTATATTCTACTGCAGGAGTGTGCAATCTTTTGGCTTCCCTGGGCCACGCTGGAAGAATTGTTTAGGACCACACATAAAATACACTAACGCTAATGATGGCTGATGAACAACAACAACAACAAAAAACCTCATGATGTTTTAAGAAAGTTTACAAATTTGGCCAGGCACGGTGGCTCACGCCTGTCATCTTACCACTTTGGGAGGCTGAGGCAGGTGGATCACTTGAGGTCAGGAGTTTGAAACCAGCCTGGCCAACATGGCAAAACCCCATCTCTACTAAAAATACAAAAATTAGCTGGGTGTGGTGGCGGGCACCTGTAATCCCATCTACTTGGGAGGCTGAAGCAGGAGAATCACTTAAACCCAGGAGGTGGAGGTTGCAGTGAGCCAAGATCCCACCACTGCACTCCAGCCTGGGCAACAGAGTGAGACTCCATCTCAAAAAAAAAAAAAAAATAGAAAGTTTATGAATGTGTGTTGGGCCACATTCAAAGCCGTCCTGGGCCGCGCTGCTGGCTGGGCAAGCTTGTTCTACTCTGTGGGCCTGCCACATTTCGTTTATCCTCAGCTGATGGACATTTGGGTCATTTCCAGCTCTGTCTGAATTTTACCCTCAGGGACTGAGCCAGGGGGCTGTGCAAGGTTGGGAAGAGGGCTACACCTTAACCATCACCCACAACTTCTGTTCTCCCAAGACCCCATTGGGTACGGGAGGTTGAGGTCCTACCAGATGCACCCTTACAGAAGCCCCAGCTTTGTGCCCACGTGTGTGAAGGAATGGAGAGGGCAGGAGAGGGACTGGAGGTGGGGAGGCCTGAGAGTCCAGGCCAGCATGTGGACTGTGGGGACACAGGGCAGGCAGGCAGAATCCACACCTTCTAGGTTCTGTCCGGGCTGTGCCAGGCTGCCAAGGGAGGATGCTGGGCAGGTCAGGGAGGAAGAGAGGTCCCAGTGGCCAGGGGAGTTGGGGAGGGACTCTCCAGGATCCCCAGCAGAGAGGGCAAAGGGTACCTCCCAAGGGCCTGACCTCCTCCCCTGGAGAGAATCCAGAAGGTGAAGGTGGCATCAGAGATGGGCCCTAGAGGACAGGAAAGATTTCTGAGCGCATTTTTGGAAGTTCAAAGCATAACCTGCATGACCTTGCACATACAGTGGGCACAGGGCAAAGACTTATTTAATTCGCTCAGTGGGAACAGCAGGAGGCAAAGCCGGCTCAGAGGAGGATTCAGGGCGAAGTGCCTACAGCCCTTGAGAGCTGGCAAGATGGATTAAGATGGAAAGAAGAGGCGGGCTGTCGGTGGCATGCAGGCAACACAGCCGTCACCACTCGCCATCTTCTGTGCCACACAGAATCCACTTGCACCTCTACCAAAACTGTAGTTCACGCAGGATGTCAATGAGTCTGGGCCCCGTTTGATCACAAACACTGGGGTCACATATCCCCAGAGTTGGCCTAATTGGTCCAACAGAGCAGAGTGGAAGAAGTGGGCATCCAGATGGGGGCGCGGCTTGAGCAAGGGCCAGAGGCAGGAGGGCAGGACTTCCCAGGGGGACACCCCAGGGAACTGCTCTCCGGAAAGGGCGGGCTCTGGGTGGCAGCAGAAAGAGGACGGCAGGACTTCCCAGGGGAAACCCCAGGGAACTGCTCCCCGGCTTCTCAGAAGTGCTTCAGGGCACGGACAGGCCTCCACAATCCCCAGTCCAGGCACATCACAGAATCAAGTGCAAGGTGAGGAAATGGAAAGTCCCCGGAATCCCCAGATGGGGCAGGAAGCAGCCGTGGGTGGCCGACAAGTGAAATGGTGACACCTGAGCCCAGATGCCTAAAGCCACCGCCCAGAGGGGCTACCGAGGGTCACCAAGAATCTGGGATACCCATCTGGCATCCTGGGTATCCCCACCACTGCCCCCACCAGTGTCCTCGACCTAAGTCAGATCATAGCCCCCTCCGCTCAAAGCCTCCAGTGGTGCCCGCGTCACTCAGGAAAGCCAAAAATCCTTATCGCCCTAAAGGCCCCACGCGAGCTGCTCCCTGCCCTCTGACCTCCTACCACTCCCCTCTCCTCATCTGCTGTAGCCTCACCTGCCTCCCAGCTGTTCCTGCAACTTGCCAAGCACAGTCCTGCCTCCGAGCCCTTGCACTGCCTGTGCTGGAGGCCAGGAGCATGCTCTGTCCCCACATCGTCCGGTGCTGGCCCCTTCTTACCACTCGGATCTCAGGTTCAGCATCCTCCTGTTCCTCCTGCTAGCCACCGAGACCTGTCCTCTGTCCCCCACACACAGTAGGGATCATCTGTCCCCCTTCTGGCAAAGCTTGTCAGCCTCTCTCCCCACGCAGGACAAGAGACCGGCCACAGCTCCACCCTCGGCTCCCTGGTTCTCAATGGGCACCGTACACAGCAGGTGCTGGCTCAGTGGATGTGTGAACATATTCGACTGTCCTGTGAGTGGGAGTAAGGCAGAGACAAGCATCCTCAGTGATGGATGAGGATGCTGAGGATGAAGAAAGGAAGACCCGCCCGCAGCCATTCCTTCTCACCCAAGCACTCCCAGCAACACAGTGACCAGGGCATCTGTGGGTGGACCCAAAGTCACTGCTTGGGTGGTCTTGGGGAAAACTGGCTCCGACCTCAGGGACCCGGAGGTTGGGGGGCCTGGAGGAAGGAGCGTCTGCTGGGTGTCTAGCCAAAATTGCCTGGGGAGCCCCCAAGGAAGACTGGACATGCCAAGCACCCAGAAAGAACTGGGGGCCACTTCTGCATGGGGCCCACAGGATCAGGAGCCAGGCATGCAAGGCCCAAGGGACCTGGGTCCCCACAGCCTCGCTGCTCCCTCACCAGGGGGCCAAAGCCCTAAACAGTCCCAGAGAGGTCCTGCTCATTCCTGGGTCAGCCCCTGCAGCCCTGTTCGTGACTTGTCTGTCCCTGTCATGGACTGTGGGCGGCAGACAGGGAGCGTTGACTGACCCATGCCAGGTCCCCAGGATCAGGCACAGGGTCAGGCCCAAAGCAGGTGTCAGTTAATGCCGTGGGATGAGGATTTCTGGCAGTTTAAATTACTTCTTGAACACTCCTGGCAATGTAGACAGTCAGTGCCCAATGAGTGCTGCCAGTTGGTGGTACTGGCAGCCTGAGTGCCAGGCGCTGCTCCATGCCCTTTATATGTAAAGGCTGTGTGGCCCCCACAGTGGAGACAGGTAGGTGCGGGAGGGAGCTCAGAGCTGGGACAAGCTGACTCAGAGCTGCCACTCCTACTTCCCCACGCACCCCATGGCTGCCTCCTCCTGGAGGCCCTCAGGGGGTCCTTGAGGATGGAGCCCCTGCCTCTGCAGAGATGCTCTGCCCCCAAGCCTCTGCTGACTCAGTACCACCTCCCAAGGACCCGTCCATTCTGTCCATCCAAATCCCACCTCCCTGGAGGCCCATTCACCAGCCCACACTTACTGGGCACCTACTGAATACCATGGCTATACTGTGGGTGCAAGAGAGCTCACGAGGAGAAAGGCTTAGTTCCTGGCATGACAGCAAACTTGGCAGAGCAATCAGGAGCTGGACTCATGGGGGCCAGAGACCCCAGGACCCCAGGACAGGGGGAGAGAGGCCCTCAGCTGCTGGGGGGCCCTGCCCCAATGGACCCTCCAATCCTATGAGAGTCCCCTATCCTTGATCCAGTTTCTACCCCAACCCCCTGAAAGGGGGAGAGGCGCAGAGGCCCCGAAGAGGGCCCACCTTGTCCTGCACCATCCGTCAAGTACAGCAGCTCCTCAAATAACACTGTTGCTTTCAACGTGGTTTTGTGATAACGCTGACGAGAAAAAAAAATCGCTTCCCTTTCAGGGCCATTGCGTGGCATGTGCACGAGCTCCCCAGGTCTGTGTGGGTTTTCTCCCTGTCCTCCGGCTCCCCCATACCCCAGTGCTGTGCACATCCGGTGAACAGGCGTGTCGCCGTGGCCCTGGCTGAGTGGGTGTGGCTGTGCATGGGAGTGTGCCCCGAGAGGGGATGGTGTCCTGAGCAGAGTCAGGTCCCACCTTGTGCCCAGAGCTGCTGAGACAGGCTCAGCCACTCATGACCCTGCACTGGAATTAGTGGGTTGGAAAATGAATGAATAAATGAATAAAAATTATTGCAAAATAAAAATTCGTCAAATAGACATAGTCAGACGAATGCGTGGCAATACAGGAAGCCGCCACGTTTGTGATCGTTTGATTTTGAAGTGCGTGGTGGCAGGAGGAGCTCCCGACCATGGTTGCCGTGAGATGTGTGTTCCGTTACCACTCACTGGCCCACGGAAAGCTGGGGAAGCAATTCTCTTCCCTGTTTAATTCACTTTTCTTACATGTATGTGTAGCTCACATTTACTTCAGTGTTTAATGTTAGAAGTGTTTGGGGTCTTCATTGGAAGCCTGGTGACGTTTTTGTGACCAGAAATACCTGGCAGGAACTTAACTCTTATCTATCTCTATCAACTTATGGGAACACTAGTGTCCTTAAACCAATTTTCACTTAAAACTGGCATCGTTTTGCTTAAAGCCGCAGCTTCCAAGAACTTATGGATGATGTGATGTGAGGACTTACTGTACACCATGCCCAGGAAAAAAGTCTGGGGTGCCCCTGTGGCCAGCCTGGGCCCAGCCAGGCCATCTCCCCAGGCTCGGGACTCTCAGACCAGAGCCTCCCCCAGAATCCCACAACATTCTCCCATCTCAGCAGCATCAGCAACACCAGGGAGGGCAGTGCCACGGCACACACGGTGCCCAGCCTCCTTGGCCCCGCGCGAGGCCGCTGCAGCCTTCCTCTGGGGCTGCGTGCTGGTTGCATGCCCTCTTTCACTTACTATCTTGAATGAGTCAGGAAGGAGAGGCTGATGGGGCTCATCCTGGGGTTGGCCCAGGGCTCTGCGTCTCTGACCTGGGGAGCTGGCTAACCCTAAGTCCCGTCACTCCCTCCGAATCAGAGGCACCCACACCCCAGGGCTGCTGGGAGGCTGGACGGAAGAACAGCGGCCCTGGTGCACACAGGAGGTGCTTGGGACCAGCCAGGGACCCTCCTGAGACATCTATTCCTGCTCTGGACCGGCCCGCTGGCCAGGCACCCAACAAACAAGCCCCCGGGCTGCCCGCAGGCACCTGGATCCGCCAAAGGCCCGGTTCTCACGCTCACTTCCTCTTCAGGGGAGGCTGGGGATGCTTGCCAGGCCCGAAACCCCAAGACACTCTCAGGGAGGGCTTTACTCAAGACGATCATGAGTAGGCACCTTCTAAAGGGATGAGAAAGCGGAAGCAGGGGGGAGGGGTGGGGGGAAAGTGAGGAAAAAGGGGAGCAGGAGGTATGGGGGAGGGGAAGAGGGGTAGCCAGAGGCGGAAGGGCCAATCCTCAGCCTCCCCATGTGGGCGGGGGCAGGGCTGCCTGCCCCCACTCCACCCAGCTCCCGAAGGCAGGAGGCCGGGACAGGCGCGAGGCCGCCAAGAACACAGGGCGCAAGGCCCCACGGAGGTCAAAGATCCCCCTAGGGCCAGGTAGTCCCTGCTGGCAGTGTCTGTGGGAAAGGCCCTGGGCCTAGCCAGCTACACTCAGGCCTGTCAGTGGGCACTGGGGCTGCCACAAATGCCGGGGCAGCTGGACCCATCCTGTGGAGTGGAAACCCAGGCCCCTGAGCCCACTCCAGGAGGGTCCAGACCTACAGGGTTATCTGGGGGAGCCCTCCCTGAGCAGGGCGCCAGAGGGCTGGAGGAGGTGGTGGAGAGAGGGGTTCTGCAGGGCCACAAGTACCCCGACTGGTCCCATCCATGCCTTCAGCCCCTGCCAGCTGTGCCTGCCCACCTCTCCCTTCACCTGCTCCACCCACACCTTGCAGCCTCAGACCCGTCACCCAGGGCGGCCTCCAATGTTTCTAGAGGCTGCACCCTCTGCTGGCACCCCTCTCCCCAACTCCCTTCTCCTGGACACCCCAGCTGCTGCCCAGGTCTCCTCCTCCAGCCCCGACCCAGGGTGGCTTGTGTGATATCAGGGGAGGTGTGGGATCCCGGGAGCTGGAGGAATGGCCCTGGCATCACGGGGCCCCCCTGGGCTGAAGCTGGAGTGGCCTCGTCCATGCCTTGAGACTGTGAGCTTCATGGGACTGGGCCCTGCTGGGGCCACAGCGGGGGAGGGGTAGGTGACTGTGTGGATGGACAGATGGATGCGCTCGGTAAATGGTTCTGTCCATGCTCCGGCCCACGTGCTCCAGTGCCTTGGAGCCCCGCTCCACCTGCTGTTCTCTGAGCTCCCTGCCCCCGCATGCTATCCTGGGACTCCACAGCACAGACCTCTGAGCCGATGGCTGTCCTCACAGGCCCGGGGCCCCTCGGGACGGCCCTTCCGGTGACTTCCTGCCAGGGAGGCCAGGGGGAGGGGTAAACAAGGCCTCCAGATGGCTTCCTGTGGCTGGGCAGCCGTGGGAACAGCCCGGCCCAGGGAGGCTACCAAAGGAGGGGAGGGTGGGAGCAGGGGCCAGCCAGCAGCATCCGTCAGCAGAGCATCTGCTGAGATGGACCCGCTGCCCTCTCGGAGCCTCCGACATGGCCGGGGGGACGTCACACCCTGTTTACAGAGGGGGACACTGAAGCACAGGCAGGCAAGTTACCCCAGGGCCAGCCCACCAAACCCAGTGCCCTCCCCTCCACACCAGAGACTCCCGTCTCTCTGGCCTCATCTGCAAAGGAGCAGATGAGCTGGCTGGCTAGAGGTCACCTCAACGACAGGACGTGCAGATGTGCAGGTGCCAGCTTGTCTGTCTTCCATCCCAGCACTGCCACTCCCCAACTGTGCTACCTAGCAGAGTGCCAGCCTCAGACACCAGCTTCCCTCCCTGGGAAACAGGACGACCATGGCAGCTGCCACCAGGGGACCCTGAGGTTTAAGGATGTGCCCTGGGTGAGCTCCGGCTGCTGGCCCAGAAGAGGCTCGCGACGGTGCCATTAAGAGTGATGCCGTTCCGTCAGGTCCTGGGTCCCCAGGAGGAGCCTGTCCTCACCCGGCTTGCCCCTTCCTGGTGCCTCGTGCATGACTCCCTCCGTACTGTGATGCCATCTCCTCCCAAAAGCCCACCCTGACTACCTGCTTCCTGCCCCACCACGACCTCTAAGTCTTGGGGACACATGCTCCAGGGAGGGAACTGCCATCTCCTACAAGTCCTACTCACCCATGGGATTTCTCTGGGGTCAGGACCGCCCCTCTCTGCCTACTGCCATCCCCACGGGGCCAGTGTGGACCCGGGCAGCCCCCCAAGAGTTATGGGGAGGCAGGAGCTACACAGCAGCCAGGATAGGGATGAAGGGGCTGGCAGACACACAGCCGGGCACCAACAACCCTCCCATCTGACCCAGGGTTCTGCCAGCGGGCCAAGAAAGACTCACCCCGGTGCCGAGACGCACATCCTGGCTGTCCATGGCCTCACTTAGGAGAGCCCATCATGGGGGTGGGGGGATGGCTGGTTAATAAACAAGCATCTGACCAGACCCAGAGACCAGGGTCCAAGGGTGCCATCGGGAGAGGACCCCAGTCAACACCCAGGGAAATTTCAAGTGACACTGTAAAACAGCACCCGAGGCCGGCACGGTTCTTGTGAAATGAAGCAGAAGCCCAGAGCTACTGCAGCCGTGTATTTCCCAGGCTGTTTGAATTTTTATAATGAACATCACCAAATGTGTGTCTAAAACAATAACCACGTTTGCGCCTGGCACAGTGGTGGGCCGGGCACAGATGTGGGCCGGGCACAGTGGTGGGCAAGGTGCAGAGGCGGGCCAGGCGCAGAGGTGGGCCAGGCGCAGAGGCAGGCCAGGCACAGTGGTGGGCCGGGCGCAGTGGCTCACACTGTAATCCCAGCACTTTGGGAGGCTGGGGCAGGAGGATCACTTGAGTCCAGGAGAAGCAGCCCGGCTAACATGGTGAAATGCCATCTCTACAAAAAATAGCTGGGCATAGTGGCGCATGCCTGTGGTCCCAGCTACTCAGGAGGCTGAGTCAGGAGAATCGCTTGTGCCTGGGAAGCGGAGGTTTGCAGTGAGCTGAGATCGTGCCACTGTATTCCAGCCTGGACAACAGGGTGAGACTCCGTCTCAAAAAAGAGAAAACAATAACTACATGTTTGAAGCGTTGTTCAAATGTCGCCTCTCCCCCATGTGAGCTCCTTGTGGGTCCCGCAGTGCTGCCATTGCACGTCCCCAGCCTGCCCCAAGAACACAACCTGGCAGGTAGGGAAACTGAGGCACCCATGGACAGCCCTCCCCCAGGTCACAGGCCTGGAAGAGAGTAAAGGGCATGCCACCAGGACCCCGTCCATCCATTGCAGTCACCGACTCAGAAGCAAGCAGCCTGGCTCAGGTGGCTGGAGCTCAGCTGCCAGGCCTTTGTCCTGATCCCACCCATCTGCTGTGGGGGCCGGGGTCTCCCCCAGGCTCCCCATTCTCCAGACACAAAAACGGAGGCCCAGAAAGGGCAGGAGCAGGGAGAGTCGGCAGAGCCAGGGCCAGGCCTTGTAGCTCCCCAGGGCCATGCGGAGGGGACAGGGAGGCCACCGAGGGGAGGGGCAGCCGGGAGCCCCGGGCACCCCCAGGGACCCCCTGAGCTCCACACGGCAATTCCCAGCAGATGGGCCTCTGGGCAGCTGGCCAGAGGGAAGCAAAGCCCGGGAGGAAGGGCCTCTGCGGCTGACCCAGGACGGGGAGATTAAAGGAGAAGATGTTTGCCTTGGCAGGGGCCCCAGGACCAGGCGAGCCAGAGGAGGGGGCCAGCGTTCCAGGCATCAGTAGAAGATGCCAGAGTGGGGGTGCCAGGAGTAAGAGGCACCGGCTCTAGGGGCAAGGGCGGAGTGGATGAGCAGGTAAAGCACACCGTGTGCCACAGGAGGGGTGGTGACAGGGACCTGAGGCAGGCGGGCAGAAACCCTGGGTGGGGTGGCGGGGAATCCTCCGAGCCCTCCCGAGCCTCTTCCAGGAAGCCTGAGTCACAGGAGGGACCCAGGGCCAGGAGAGCAGCCGGGAGCACCGGTCCCGTGGGAAGGGGACTGAGATGGGGACAGGGACAGGGCAGGGCCACCCGTCACCTCCTCTAGCTGGGCCAGGCCTGGCTTCGAGGTCTCCGTGGCGGGTGAGGACGAGGCCGTGGGAACAGGCTCCTGCAGCTCCCCAGAGGGACTAGGGGGTGGTAGAGCTAGACAGAGTGGGTCCAGCCCATCCTGCAGAAGGGGAAACTGAGGTCCAAGAGAAAAGCCTCCTGGACAATGACGTCATCAACTGAAGTGTCCCCTGGGCAGCCCAGGCCTGGACACTGGGGAGAACAAGGCAAGAGTCTCCCCAGCCAGGCCCTGAGCACCCTCATCCGGGGGTCTTCAGGTTCCAGAGTCCAGTTCTAGCACATCCACCCTCAGCCATGGACCCGAGACCCTCCAACTCCCAGGGTTAGAGACTTCCTCTTGATGCCCTATTTCCAGGACCCCACCCCAGGGAAATCTGATCCCCGCAGGCCCTGCTCCACCTCACCACCTCACTCTAGAACATTCCCTGGTTCCTGCCACTCCATGCCCCAGGATGGGAGTCAGGGACTTGAACCCTAGTATGCTGAGTCTGGGGTGTTCCCAGACGCCCGTCTGCCCACATCAGCAACGCTGGCTCCTGCAGGGGTGCTGGAATCTCTGGGAGTTGGAGGCTGTGCCTCAAGCAGAACCAAGCAATCAGGGAGTGCTTCCCAACTTATAACCACTCAAATGGTCCAGCCTCTTATTGGCAAGTGCAGAGCAGAGACTCCAAGGGATGTTATGCCCACCTCTGAGGGTCACCTAGCAGGAGACCTGGGCCCCACTGGCCCACTCCACCCCTCATCCAGCAAATAAACCCTGAGCACTGGCTAGGCCAAGCCCTGGGCAGAAGGCACAGGGGCCCTCTTCTTGGCCATCCCAACACCACTGGGCCCTGACCACATCTTCCAGGGCCAAGGGCTCCAGCCTGGGCACCTCCAAGCAGGCCTCAGGCAGACGCCTCCCTCCCTGCTCCGCCTGCGCTGACTGTCCAGGGTCCTGCATCCAGGTCTCGGCCCGTCCAGGACTGAGCCACACACAGCGAGGCTCACACATGATAAAGGCAGGAGCCGGGCCGACCCTGGACAGAGAGCGGGCTAGTGGTGCCAAGCCCTCAGAACCAGGGGCAGCAGGAGGAGCAATGCCCAACTCAGGTCCAATTTCTGCAAAACATTTTGTTCAACTCCCTTCCAGCTCTGATGGGCAAAGATAACAGAATCTCTCTGAACTATCCAGAAAGATCACTGCCTTTTATGGACAAGAACACTGGTCCCAAAGAGGTCGAAACCAGGCTCCACAGCCACCGAGGCACTCAGGCCCCAAGGCAGGGTTCTCATGACCAATACCCGCCCCGCCACCTGCCTTGTGAGGGTCTGCAGGGGACGTGCACCCCACCTTCACCTCCTGACTCACTGGACTCCCAACTGAGGCCAGCGGGGAGCATGTGCCCAGCGTGGGGCAGCCAGGTGGCGGAGTTGTCATTGTTCTGTACTTGTGGTAGGAGCTGGGCATGGCAGAGGCCCTTCCCAGCAGGACTCCTGCCCTCTCCCACCCAACCCCAACCCAGGACAGGCCTTACAGGCAGAAGTTTCAGCCCACCCGGGGGCTCCATTCAGGTCACTGGGACCTCCTTCAGAGAGCCCCCCACTGCCTGGAGCCTGTGTGACCTCATGAAGTGACAGAGCATCAGCCTCTCATTGTACAATGGGCAGGCAGCCTGTCCTGTTGTCACAGGGACCCACCAGGATGAGGTTGGCACAGCCCTGCACACCCTGGCAGCCACCTTCCCCGAGCCCCGGCTTCCCTGCGTGTAACACAGCTCTCACTCCGGCTCCAGGAGCCGCTCTGGCCCTGAGGAGGTGGCTAGAGCCAAATTCAACACAGATCAACCTGTGTTCATCCCCCTAGCCCTCTGGGGTCTTCCAGCCTGGCTTCCTCCCTGGCCGGGAAAACAGCAAGGGAGGAGAGGCTGTGGGCTCCAGGCCCCCAGCCAGCCCGGCTACCCTCCCACAGGAGTACCTGGCTCAAGGGCAGGTCCCAGAGAGCACAGCCCAGGCTGTTTCCTTCCCTGGATCGTTCATCCACTGTGTCTGGAACCCCAGCGGGCTCAGTGCACTCAGGACCCGCACGTCAGCTTGTCGGCTCCACACATGCAGCCCCTCGGGTTATGCGTGGTCTTGTCCCACGTGAGAAGGGAACACTGAGACTCAGAAGGTGACATGACCAAGCTGGCGTGGCCAAGCTAGCCCTTCCCGAGGCCACCGTCTCCCCACCCTGTAGCCCCCATCCCCACCTCATCTCTTCCTGGCCAAATCATCAGCGGTGCCCTTTGTCCCCCGTGTGCCTGTGGTGCAGCTGCTCCACTTGGCGCCAGCTCCTCGGGGCAGGGCTCGGGACTGTCCTGTTCCCAGTGGGCCAGAGCAGGCACACAGTAGGTGCTCCAGGGCTGTGGGCTCGGTGAGAGAGGAATGCTGGACGGGCTGCCCGGGGCCAGATTCCATACCACCTGATGACCTGGAGCTGCTCACCCCACTGGCACCATCACCCAAATGACCAGCACCCTCCCCTGCCCATTTACTGACCTTTCCCCAAAAAGGAGGCATGGCCAGCGTTCAAATTCCTGCTCTCCTCCCAGCAGTGACCCTGGCACGTCACTTCTCCCCTAGGGTCCTTCCCTGGCTCTAGGGCAGGACGGTAATATGAACACTTACCCGCCAGAGGTCTCAATCCTCTAGGATGAAGGGAGTTAAAATGCATCAAGTTTTACGTATGAGTCCATCACGGTCCTGACCAATGGCACCCACAGCCCAGATAATGGGGCCGGTTCTGGCTGTACCGCAATCACCAGGCACTGCCAAGGAGCCCCACCTTCACATGGCACGGGGTTACAGTCACGGCAGGGGTGGGGGTTACACATCAGGTTAGGCCTGCTTCCTCTGAGCCAGTGGCAGGGTTGGCGGGGGCAGGTGGCCAGGACAGGGTGGGAGAGGGGAGGCAGCCCCATCTGTCCCCAGCCAGGGTGGCCCTTGGCAGGCAACAGCAATGACTGTGCTGCATTTCCACTCCTTCTAGAAGCATAAGCCCTGACATGAGGGCACCCCTACATCTGGGGAAGACACCAGGAGAGGAGCCGGGGGGCATGGGAGCACCCCTACATCCCGGGAAGATGCCAGGAGAGGAGCCAGGGGACATCCCCACTGGGTAGATGAACGGGGGCTGCAGGAGGGAGGGGTGGCCCACGCACCTACCCCGGGTAGATGAACGGGGGCTGCAGGAGGGAGGGGTGGCCCACGCACCTTCCCCAGGTAGATGAACGGGGGCTGCAGGAGGGAGGGGTGGCCCATGCACCTATCCTGGGTAGATGAACGGGGGCTGCAGGAGGGAGGGGTGGCCCACGCACCTAAGGGGAAGTGGGGGTGCACTGGGCAATGGCCCCCAGTTCCCCTCCAGGAGGAAGGTAAACCTGAGGGCCCACTCTCAGGACCCCAGCTGAGCCCTGAGCCATGTGGTCATCCCTGACCCTCAGTTCCGCTTCCAAACCAGGAGGCTGCCACTAAAGCAGCCCAAGACTGAGTGGCACGTGCCTGGCGGGAAGCGATGCCCCACCTAGGGGTCCTTAGGGCCACACCCTTGGCTGGGAGGAACAGCCTGTCCTTATTTTCTGAACTGTCTTTTGTACAACAGCCTTGGCGCAGCTCAAAGGATAAGTGAGGTTCTCAGGGTCCTGACCTGAGGCGCCCCAAGGAGGGGAGACACGCGCACACTCTCTGCCAGGTGAACGCCTACTGGGCCATCGGAACCCACAGCTCGTGCCCCACCCACACTGGCACGGGCTGTGTCCACGTAGCCCTGATCCCGCTCGGCTAAAGAGCGCAGCTCTCAGCTGCCGTAGGTAGCTGCCAGGACCCTCCACCCTCTGCTCAGGCTCCTGGGTGGAAGGAAGCACCCGTCCCTGTCCCCGTCCCACCTTGGGGAGGCCCCCCTCTCTCCAGGGAGGCTGGCCTACCCGACTGGCAGGCGTGGGGCACACTCTGGGCCGCCCCCAACCGCACACACCCAACTCGCGGGGCGCCGAAGTCAGGCGGCGGCGATGCCAACCCGACCACGTAACTGTGCGAAGTGCAGTACCTCCTCCTGCAGCCCACAGCCACTCCCACCCAACTCTGAACTGTGCAGAGAGGACGGGGCTCATCGGCCCTCGGACCTTGCCCAGGTCCCTGCCTATGGGTCCTGCGAGCCGGTCCAGGTCAGAAGGAGGGATGGGAAGTCTTTTTTACCTCACACATGTTCACCCGTGTGACCAAGCTTCACCACTGTCCTGCCAGGAAGACCTGTCATTGCTCCCATTTTACAGGTGTGGAAACGGAGGGGCAAGAAACCAAGTATCCAGCAAGACACTGGGAGGCCAGGCCCTCCTGCCTCTAGCCCAGCCTCGGGCTGCTGCACTTGCTAGGAAACACCACTGCAGGCAGGGAGGGGTGCCAGGGACCAGAGGGAGTAGGTGACAGCAAGGGCGGCCAGGGTGGAGGTGGGGAGAAACGGTGCTCTCGAGGTGAGAAAGCGCCCTGGGGTGGTCTGGGACAGTGACCATCTGGTTACAGCCTTTGGTCAGATTTGGGACCTTCATGGAACAAGGCAAGCCCAAGGTCTTGGGGGGCGAAAAATCACCACTATCTGCCAGCCCCAGGCCCAGGAGCTCCCAGCTCAGCCCCTCTGGCCAAATGCCACCTGGACACCAGCCTGGTACACTTTCCACTTAACTCACCCTTTCGCCAGGACCTGCCAACCAGGGAGAGGCCTCCCCAAGCTGTATCACCGCCATCTGGATGTAAGTCCCTAAGGAGGTCACGTGCATAGGCATTGGGCACCAGCGGACACTCTGCCCACCCTGGCGGTGAGAGGGAGGGCTCACACCAGCTTATGCCCCCCTCTCAGTCTGACTGTGTGCACCTCTGCCCAAGTCCTCAGCCAGTAAAGTCACGTCTGTGTAGCTTGGGAGTAGTTACACCACAGAAATTGGCCAATGCCAATTCAGGATTTGGTTAAGCATCTGTTAAGCATGCCCTCATGTCATCTTTGAGCCCAGCCACCCATGGTGCCTCCAAGACCTCCTCGCCATCCAAACTGCCCACTTGTCTGAGAAAGCTGCCCACCTCCCGGCCTTCCTCCTGCCTCCCATGTCCAGTGCCTGACTGCATCAGCCAGCCACCCTCACCATGTTCTGGGCTGTTACTTGGGACAGAGAGGGGACCAGCTGAGGCCCCCAGCCTTACTCCAGTGGTCAGCGCAAGCTTCCGGGAGGAGGGCAAAGGCAGAGAGGAGCAGGCAGCTGAGGAAACCACCTGGAGGCTGCATCTCATCCCCGCCTGCATTTTCTCCCATCACGCCGACTGCCTGCGGGGGCCTGTCCGCAACCTGCCCCGCTCAGCCAGCCAGCCATGCCCCATCTCCAGGTCCAGCATTGGGCCTGGCACAGAGTAAGTGCTTGGAGAACACGTTGGGGGTGTTGAGGGGTGACCAGCTCCCTAGCGGGGCTATTTGGAAACAGCCCAGGAATTCCTACACAGGGCAGCTTCTCCTCCTTCGTAACCACAGTGAGGGGGGCCGGCGTGGTGATGGGGAGATCCCCAATGCCTAATTCCACTCAGGTGACAGGTTCGGGGCCCATTTACAGCAGCTCCAACGCCCCCTTTGCAGATGGGGACAACAAGGCTCTGCTTAGCCCCGCAGGCTAGGGGCTGCACCAACTCCACCTTTGTGGGCCTCAGTCTCCTCATCTGAGAAATGGGGTTAACGAACTTCTTGGGAGGATTGCAGGAACTCAGTGAAGCACGGCTCTGCACAGGGCTGCCAGGCGGCTTCTGTCTGTGCAAGGCCACAGGCACCCTGTGTTCAGTGACCTCCTCTGGTCTGCAGCCGAGGACACTGCTCCAACCTGGGAGCAGGGCCCCCAGGGTCCACAGACTAGGTGGATGCCCAACACCCACCATCGTGTGCGGGGCACACCCCAGAGCCCGCAGGCAGAGAGAGGGGGTGCAGCACGTGCCTTTCTGTCTTGGCTGAGGGTGCCCGGGCACACACTGTGACCAGCTAGCCTGGACCTCACGCTGCCCTTGGAGCCGCTATCACAGAGGGCCAGGGAAGCCTCCCTCATAAAGGGCTTCCCTCCGGGAACCGGCAGGGTGAAACTGCTCTGCCCACTTGGAGCTAAGCATGCCACCACCCCACCCCTGGGCCACCAGCTGCCCAGGGGCGTGTCAGGAGTCACCCGTTTAATCCCTGAGGCACGTGGATCAAGGCTGCTGACCTGATTCTACCGGGGTGTGCTTGGAGGGCTGAGGCGCCGCCCGAGTCCCAACACTGGTATGGTCTGAGGCGGACTCCACCCGGCCTGAGACCTGACGCTCTGCTTTCCCCTGACCTCCACTGACATCTACGACCCGCCCTGGAGGCACGGAAGGCTGTGGGGTTCCAGCCCCCCAAACTGTGCAGCTGAGGAAAATGAGCCGTGAATGGGGGCAGAGCCAGATCCTGGGCGGGACCCTGCGCAGGATGAACTCAGGGTAGGAGGTCTCCCGCGCACCCAGAAACGGGAGCGGGTCACCCCCTTCCAGCCAGGGGTGTTCTGTGGCTCGCCTGGGGAAACAGCGGCCTCCTGAGGCTCGGCCCCGGCACGTGGCAGCCTCCAGGCCCACGTTCCCGCCGGATCGGCCGCCAGGCGCAGGGTCCCGGGACGCGCGGGCAGGGGGAAGGCGGCGGCCCTCCCGGCTGCGCGGCCCCGAAGCCGTGCCCGGAGCGGGCGGCGGGCTCGCGCGCGGACGGCCCCCCACGCGCCTCCACAAAGCGCCGCGCGCCCCCGCCCCGAGCGGGCGCGGAGGAGACTGACCTGGCGGTCCGGGCGGCGCCGGCACGACGGGTGGAGGGCTCGGGACGCGCGCGCCCTCGCGCACAGGCGCGGCCGCGGCTCCACCGGCTTAGGGCGCGCGCCGGACCCGCTGGGTCACGTGGGGGCACGGCCCAATGGGAGCGCTCCCCACGCCGCGGCCGCGCGCCCGCCGCCCCCGAGGCCGCCCCTGGGCTGGGAGGAGGCGGCTCCGGTCGCGCGGGCGGCCTCGGGGACTGACCTTGGCTCCTGTGCCTGCCGGGCGCCTAGGCCAGGTCGGCCTGGGGCAGGCGGGCGTCGGAGGGGCAGTTTTGAAGCCCGAGCGAAGAGGCAGAGGGCGGGATGCGGACGAAGCCAGGGAGTTCACGAAACTTCTGGAGTTCTCAGTTTCCCCCTAAGTCGACTGGGGCTAGGTCCCGTGCCGCCAGGCGGGCTGGCTGAGGGGATGGGCTGGGGCGACAAGACGGCAGCCGCCTGGCCCGGGTACTTGGGGTCAGACCGGCTTCGAGGCCCCCGGACCGCCGTGTTATCAGGACGGGTAGGGAGCCCACGGGACGCGTGGTGCTCAGAAGAGCGGGGAGGCGTGTGGACGGGGCCTGCCCGAGCTGCACCACCGCCTGCCTCCAGGCTGCGAGGCCCGCCCAGGCGAAGGCGGCATCTCAGCCTCTAGCCCTTGGGGACCTTGAGGACGTCCTCTTATGGGTCAGCCGTTCCTAGGGAGGCTTGTGGCTCCAGTTACTGGAAAAACCAGTGCTGGTTCACGCAGGAGGCCCCAGTACAGGGGGAAACAGAGGCAAGCTGGGGTCTCCCAGGCGGCCTCACCCACCCAGCCCTGTTCCATGCCAGTCCCTGGACCCTTGGCCCAGTCAGATGTTCAACTGCTCCAGCCCTGCCTCCACTTCCCTGAAAGATGCTTTTCCACCCATCCACCCTCAGCAGCCAGAGGGACCCCGGGAAGATGGGAGTGAGAGCTGCCTTCGTCTGCAAAAGTCTCCAGACACCACCTCACTGGTGAAGGCCAGAGACCCTAAACTGTCCCAAGACCACCTGACTGGGCTGCCTCCCTGCCACCTGGCTGCCAGCCTCTCTCAGAGCGCCTGCAAGCTATTCCTCCAACCCAGAGTTTCCTTCCCAGCTAAAGGCCTTTGCACCTGCTGTTCCTTCTGCCTGGAAGTTCACCGCAGACTATCCCAGGGCCTCCATCCTTCCCATTGCATGGTCCCCATCAGCTGCCGCCGCCTCTGAGAGCTCAGTCTCCACTGGCCATCCTGTCTCTCAGCCCACTGCACTCTCCACTCTGCCAGAAAGTCCCCCAATCAGTGACAACACAGGTCACGGTCCACACCTCACCTGGTTTGTCCCCAGTGCCCAGCATCTGGCACCGAGCAGGTGCGTGCAAATCCTGGACAGGTGGGCAAGCTGATGGTGTCCAGAGGCCCCTGGTCCTTAAGGGCAGGGGTGGGGATGGCTCAGAGGACATAACCTTGCAGACCCGGGTTCAAATCTGGGCTCCTCAGCTCATTTGGTCCTCACACAGCCCATGTTGGGAGAGCTAGTGTTCTCCCTGTTTTGCTGATGAGACACAGAGAAGGTCAGCAACTCCCGAAGATTGCCCAGCAAGTTGGGAGTAAAGCTGGTGCAATTCCCACGTTTAGCTGCTAAACAGGGTGTCCTGTACTTGGTGTGTTCAAGCAGAAATCCACACATGGGAAGGTCAAGGCAACATCCCTGGTACTCCAGCTTTGAGGTCCTAGGAAAAAGGGAACCTCCCATTAAATGCTTCTATTGCCGGGAAGTTCAGCACCTGTAAAAGCAGCCCCTTCCCGTTTCACTGTGGCTGCATTTTAATTCTTATTTTTTAAATGTTTAGCTTAAGGCCGGGCACAGTGACTCACACTATAATCCCAGCAATTTGGGAGGCTGAGGCGGGAGGATCACTTGAGCCTAGGAATTCAAGACCAGCCTAGGTAACATAGTGGGACCCTATCTCTACAAAAAATAAAAAATTAGCCAGTCATGGTGGCATGCTCCTATAGTCCCAGCTTGGAGATTGAGGTGGGAGGATCACCTGAGCCTAAGAGGACAAGGCTAGAGTAAGCCCTGATCCCGCCAGCACCCCAGCCTAAGTGAAAGAGCGAGAGCCTGTCTCAAAAAAGATAAAAAAAAAAAAAGCATTAATAAATAAATGTTTGGCTTCATCTAGCCTGAGCAGCACCAACACCCCCTGCCTGTTTCATGCTATTTTCCTCCTCTCCTGCCCAAAATCTCAGAGAGGTTTCTATCCCAGCCACCCAAATTTGCTGGGGTGAGTGGGCTCCCGAGAGGCTGGAGCCTCCTTCCTCCCCACGCTCTTACCATCCTGCAGGGAGTCGGGAGCAAAGGAGGAGGCTCCTCCATGCTGGATTCATTTCAGTTCTCAGACATTCACCGAGTGCTGACCACATGCCAGGGACTTACACCCACCCACCAAGTCCACACTGAGCCCTGCAGAGGAATCCCTGACACCCCCATTTTGCAGATTAGGAAGCAGAAGCTAAGCGAAAGCAGAATCAAGATTCAAACCCAGGCACGGTGAAACCAGAGCTGTCCAACTGCTGTGAGTGGAATGGGCCGGGCATGAACAGGCTTGGGGAGAATCCTGGGATTTCATAGCCGGAAGAGAGCTCAAAGTGATCGTGTTTTACAGAGGAGAAAACGGGGCCTCAGAGATGATGGCTGAGCCGTGAAAAGGTGGGGTCAGAAGCCAGGCCCAGTCTCCTGAATTCCAGACTCCAGAATCTCCCCCAGGATTGAGGAATGTTCCACAGAAAGAATCCCAGCTCCACCTACCCCAGTCACTGGACCTGCCCAGCCCTGGAGGCATGGCCAGGAGGAGGCCCCCGCAGGTGGGGGATTGTTGGAGAGGGATGCCAACCATGCAGGACGATCTAGACAGTGGTGAGGCCCACTGGGGCTGGCAGGATTAGCAGATTAGCTCCAAGGAGGACAAAGACGAGGTCAGCGTTAAGTGGATTTCTGGAAAGCCTCCTCCAGCCCAGCAGGGCCCTACAGGAGGGGCCCAGGCTGGGGGACCTAGATCCAGCCACGGAGGGCATGGGTGGGCTAATGGCACCAGCAGCAGCTCTTGAGCCCCCATCACTGGGCTGCACACTTTGACCTCTCCTGGCCTCAGTTTCCCCATCTATAAATGTCATAGTAATAGCTCCAACCTCACAGGGCTCTTGGGAAGACCCACAAGATGGTGGCTGTCAAGTGCTGCGTTGCTTCTGCCTGCGCAGAAGTAGATGTCTTTATGACTGTCCTTTTGAATCCTCCTCAAGCCCTGAGCGTCAAACAAAATAAAAAAGAGCTTGTTGTTCAGTGGTTAGTTAGGTAAACAGGAGCGGGGTGCAGGAGTATACATCTAGGAAGAGAGTAAGTGTGCGGAACGATGCTCTCTGGGCCACTTCACGTCCCCTCTGTTCCCTGATTTCAGTGGCAGTGGCCCATTCTGAGCGAGCTTGGACCCTCCTCCTCAGTGCCTGCCTTCCGTGTGTACCAAGCCCTGAAGGGCAGAGGAGGGCCAGCCCTCCGCAGTGTGGCAGGGCTCTGGCGGATACACCTGCCTCCCATCTGCAGAAGGACCTTCCTCAGGTGTCCGGCACACTTCTCAGGAGGTCCTGAAACCAGCTGAGACCTCCATAACACACCTGTGTTGGCTCCCTCACCTGGTCATCACAAATAAACCACCTGCACCAATGTCCCTATCTCAGGCTCTGCTATCGAGGGAACCAGCGTAAGCAGCCACGCCCCTGATGCGAAGAGGAAGCAGGGCTTGAGGGAGGCCAGGACTCGGGGGATTGGCGTGCAGGAGCTGGGAAAGTCATTTTCATTTCCCTCCTTCCCCTAGTTTCGTTAATGCAGCCACGCTACTGTGATGGTGACATTTTCATTTGTGTATTAGTTGTGCCTGTAAAACCTGCTCTCTCTCCGCGTCTGTGGTCAAGAGTTCTGAGTGGCTGGGCGGGGCGGTTCTCTGGCTGGGGTCTCATGAGATGCAGTCAGATGGCCAGGGTTCCAGACATGCAAGGGCCCGACTGCGGCTGGGGGATCCCCTTCGGAACCCTCTCACTGTCCCAGCTGGCCAGGCCATGCAGGTTATTAGCTGCTGCTTCAGAGTCTTCCTCAAGACGCCCCTCTGTAGGGATGCTTGGGTGTCCTCCCAGTGCTGGGGCTGGCCTCCCCCACAAGGAGCTACCCAGGAGAGCAAGACACGTGTGATCTGACCTCAGAGGCCACCCAGTGCCACCTCACTGTGTTCTGTGGGGCACCCAGGCCTGCCCTGACTTGGTGTGGGCAGGGTGGGGCGGCTTCCCAAGCCTGCAGCTGGTGCCACCTACAAGGATGAGGGAAGGCCACTGCAGGCTGAGCTCCGGCCCCTTGGGGGCTGGGGTGGAGGTATGGCAGTGCCTGACCTGGACTTCTGAGACCACCAGTGAGGTAGGGTGTGGGAGTTTGGTGGGACACTGAGCTGGGACCTTTGCAGCAGTGGGGCTACCCTAAGCCTGGATGCTCTAGCTGTGTCGCCCATTGGCAGCTGAAAGCGCTCCTGGCTCCCCCTGCCCCTGAGTTTGGCAAACTTTCATTGAGCACCTGTGCCAGGCATCACTGGGACCTGCAGCGGGAGCCCCCCTAGACAGTGCTGCAGCTACTGTCGTGGGGGCATCCAGGAGGCACGTCCCAGGCACTGCATCTGAGCAGGGACCTGCCGGCCAAGCGTTCTTCCTGGAGGAAAGAGGCTGGAGCTCAGCAGGCAGGAGGGGCGCCTTGGCGGAGGGAGGATGGGGGAGTCAGCAGGGACCCTGTGGCCTGGTGCTGGGGTCCCAGGCAAGAGCTAGGGTGTCTCCTGGGGATGACGGGGCCTCCCTGGGGGTGACCGTGGCCAGGTGTCCCACCACACACAGCCCTGCTGGCCTCAGCCCCATCTGGCACCTGCCATTGCACTTGTGACCCCCAGCTCCTGGAGGACCACCGTCCATAGATGCTTCCGCCAGTGAGGAGGCCGGGACACCCACGCTGCGGCATTGAGGATGCCGGGAGGGTCGGGGCAGGCAAGCTTGCGAGGAGCGGGCCTCAGGCACGCCACACGGGCGCCCCCTCGTGGGGCCTGTGGGGCAGGGCCGCTGCACTGGGTACGAGCTGGGCACAGGTCACGGGCACCACCCTCAGCCCGGTTGAATGCTCTGCTGTTGCTGTAGGGCGACGTTGAACATTTTTGAATGAGAGGCCTGCATTTCCACTTTGCCCCAGGGCCCTGAAATTCTGTATCAGGTCCTGCCTGCGGGTCCCTACCTGGCTTCCTCATCTGCTGGGATTCAGGGGATACTCCAGCAAAAAGCGTCCACATGCCAGCCCTGCAGCACCCCATTCAGGGCAAGAGGCAGAGCCGCAGCCGGGGTCTGCTCCTCACCCCACAATCCCGGTGAAGGAGGATGCGATCTGCAAGCGCGGGGCCCTCCGCTCAGTCCTTTGAGGCTGAGTGTGTTCACAGCTTGACTGAGGCTCCCGCACACATGGCATGGCCAAAGGGAGACCTCTCGTGCGTCTGATGTGCCCCCATCCTGTGGCCCATCAAGGTGGGGTCCAGCTCCGTCCTCTCTGCACTGCAGGGTCCAGCAGAGCCGGCCTGGAGCGGCTGGTGGGGAAAGTAGAACCGTGCTCCCTGTCCGCCCCAAGAGCAGGGCTTTGGGACACCACAGCTGGGTGTGGCCTCAAGGGTGGTGGAGGGATCGGGGACTCTCAGAGCAGGCCTGGCAGCTGGTGGGTGTCGGGGGCTGGCCCAGCCACCACCCCCTACTTCCATCCATGGAGACTATGGCCCTGGGAGAGGCCTCCTCAGCACCCAGGGCTCCCAGGGGTCAGGACCCTCCCCCAGAGATCAGCCTGGAAGGGCCTGTCCTTTCACCCCCACCAATGCAGGGAGAGCCTGCTCCATGAGTTGCCCCCACCAGGTCCTGAGACCCAGAGCAGAAGCCCTCCCCAGCTGCAGCCCAGACCACTGGCAAGTGGGGAGTGACAGGCTGGTCTGCAGGAAGACCCCCAGCTGGGCCTCAGCAAGCCCGCCCCTCAGTGTGACTTAGGAAAACCTGTATCTTCAGAGGGGGAGACCCCACGGGAGGTCTCCAGGGAGAGTGGGGAGTGGCCTTCCACCGGGGCCTGCCCAACCCCCCGACCCACACAGGTTCAGAACGCCGCTCTCCCCTGTACCCCTGGCCCACCAGGGACCCAGGAGTGAGGCTCCTGCCTCCTGTCCTGAAGCCCTCACGTGTACCTCTGGGCAAGGGTATTGACAGAAGGCTTTCATCCCACCTTGTTTTCTGGGGACCTCTTAGACCCTGGAGGGGCCCACAGGGCTCAGAGACCCTTGCCAAACCAGGAAAATGACACTGTTTCTGGCATTGAAGTTCCCAACCCTCAATCCAAGAACAATTTGGAGAATTTGTGATGAGGCTGTTTCTCCTGTTTTTTCCAGATTCAGTGAAGGTCCCTGAGCTGAGGACGAGAGAGGAGAGATGATGAGGAAGGCAAAGAGGAGACAGGGGGAGGAGAGCGAGGAACAGAAGGAAGAAGGGGAGGAGGGAGAAGGGAAAAAGAGGGAGGGAGGGGGAAGGGAAAGAGAGAGAGGGAGGGAGAAAGGAGGGAGGAGGTGAAGGGGAAGATGAGAAGGGGAGGAGGCAGAAGATGTTCTGGGAAGGGACAAGAGACGGGCCTGGTGCCTGGGCCCCACGCCTCCCGTTCCTCAGCAGATGAGGCCTGTTGGGAGGCTGAGGAAGGGAGATTGGTGTCCCCACAGGGAGCAGAGCAGGGCTGAATCTAGGGATGCAACAATGCAGAGGGTCCAAATGTCCCCACCAGGCCCAGAAGAGGGCGGGGGCAGCTGGCCCCACCCAGGGACCCAGGCTCAGGCAGGCTGTGCACTGCCCAGCAGCAGGGAACGTGGGGCCAGGGCCTCCATGCCTGATGTGTGCTGAGCCTGCATGCTGAGCCCTCCATGGGGAGCCTGGTGGGGGACAGAGGGCAGCCACAGAACAAGTGACCCTCCCTGGAGGTCGTGGGGCCCAAACACTGGATGCTGCCCAAGACACGGCAGGTCCAGGCTGAGGAACCTGAGGTCCCGACCCTCTCACGTGGGACAGGGCCTGCAGGAGGCAGCCTCCAGGCCCCCCGAACCTGACAACCCCTCATCCTCCTGGCGTGTGGGTCTGTCTTCTCCACTGGCCTGGGATCCATCCACAGTTGCCATCTCCCTCGTCCCCACCAGTGGGCACTCAGGGACAGGAGTTGAGTGAGGCTCCATGTGAGATGCAGGGAACACAGGCACTGGTGGGGGCAGCACAGCTTGCTGGAGTCCCAGCTTCCTGGCCGCTCTGGAGTCAAGGAAGGCTGTGGGTCTCATACCACGT
This sequence comes from Homo sapiens, assembly GCF_000001405.40. Taxonomy (NCBI): domain Eukaryota; kingdom Metazoa; phylum Chordata; class Mammalia; order Primates; family Hominidae; genus Homo; species Homo sapiens. The sequence continues at coordinate 51,199 of NW_025791786.1, read as the reverse complement.
CCTCAGGGCTGCTGACCACCCTCCACGGGGGCCTTTATCCCAGGAAAAATCCCTCATTCCCGGGAAGCTACCATTGCCAAAAATATGGCCTGACAGGCACCCGTCTGACAGGTGCTCCTCAAGCACCCATCCGCGGACACATGCTGAACCCATACGATGCTCTAAACGGGGCGTGCACACTGCAGCCCTCTCAGCACAGGGGCCATGCACCACCAGTTACCAGGATAATCCCTGTGGATGTCGGATTACAGCCTGCTGGGCTGGAGAAGTGGCTGCCCTCAGCAGGGCGCGTGCCTCCCCAGTCATCCCAGTCCCCCTCTGCAATGACAGAGCCCCAGGGAGCTGCAGAGAAGGGGATTTCTTCTTGCAAACAAAACCCCACAGGGAGCCCCAAGATCTAGCTCTAGTTTATTCCTCTATCCAGCAAGCATCAGTCAGACACCTTCTGCCTGCCAGGCCTGTGCCAGGACAAGGCGACACCAGACCCTGTCCTCCGGCCACATCAGGGAGGGGTTGGCGAACAAGGGAAGGAACAACAGGAAGGTGCCAGTGGAGAGGCCAGGCGCGTGCCATGGCGGTGGCAGTCCTCCTTCCTGCAGATCACCCAAAGCCAAACAGCAAGGAAATGCAGGCGCGGGGAAGCAAAGCCAGGAGCCCCTGATGCCCATGCTGTTAGCCACCCATCCACCTGGGTGCAGAAGATGCTCTCGGGGTTCACACTGAGAGACAGGCTGGAGCTGGGCGATGGCCCAAGTGAGTTCGGAACAGGCTGTGGGGCAGGGGCACTCCCACATCTCCAGCAGGGCTTAGAGAACAGGCAAAAGTGGATTCCGATCTCGGCAAGGCAGCGAGTATCCCCTCCTTGGAGGATAACCGAGCCTCTCTGGGGAACTCCTGGGGTGGTAGACGGGAGAGGAGATTTCTCACCGGAGGGGAGACCAGCCTGCTGTCCTGGGCTCGGGAGCAGCTGAAACTCCTTTTGGGGAATGCTCTTGGGAGCTGATTTATAAGGCACAGGAAGAGCCCCGTGTGGTGCAGCCCCACCCCGCTTGTGTCCAAACACAGCCTGTTGCTGTGGACACCCTCACCTCGCTCCTGGCCCAGGGAGGGGCGACTTGCCAGGGCACACAGAGCCCCCTACCAGGAGCCAGCCTGATCCCTGACCTCTGACCCTGGGAGCATGTGGGAGGTGCTGGCTGAGGAAGCAAAACTGCCAGTGTGGCGTCCATCACACTTTCCACATGTTTTAGCAGCAGGGTGTTTGTTTGTTTGTTTGTTTGTTTGTTTAAGAGACAGGGTCTGGCTCTGTTGCCCAGGCTGGAGTGCAGCGGTGCGAGCATGGCTCACTGCAGCCTTAAACTCCCGGGCTCAAGCGCTCCTCCTGCCTCAGCCTCCAGAGTAGCTAGGACTGTGGCATGTGCCTCCACAGCTGGCTTAGCAGCAGATTTTTTCTTGCAAACAAAACCTCACAGGGAGGAACTCCAGGTTAGAGAACTAGCTTATTCCTATACTAGCAAGCATCAGCCAAACACCTTCTACGTGTCAGGCCTGCACAGGACAAGGTGATACCAGGCCCCGTCCTCCGGCCACATCAGGGAGGGGTCAGTGAACAAGTCAAGGAGCGACGGGAAGATGCTGTGAGCATGGCCAGGCGCGTGCAGGGGCAGCGGCTGCTTCCCCTCCCTGCAGAACACACCACCTAAGAGAGACACTGCTCATAACTGGAGATCAGCAACATGCCCAGTTCACAGAGAGGGAAACAGAGGCACGTTGGGAGCAAGTAACTGCGGAGGGGGATCAGTTATAGAAGGAATGCAATGGGATGAGGCCCAGGTATCTACCCAAAAGAATTAAAAGCCAGGACTTGGCTGGGTGTGGTGGCTCACGCCTGTAATCCCAGCACTTTGGGAGGCCGAGGTGGGTGGATCACGAGGTCAGGGGTTCGAGACCAGCCTGACCAACATGGTGAAACCCTGTCTCTACTAAAAATACAAAAATTAGCTGGGCGTGGTGTTGGGCGCCTGTAGTCCCAGCTACTCAGGAGGCTGAGGCAGGGGAATTGCTTGAACCAGGGAGGCGGAGCTTGCATTGAGCCGAGATCGCGCCACTGCACTCCAGCCTGGGTGACAGAGCGAGACTCCATCTCAAAAAAAAAAAAAAAAAAAAAAGCCAGGACTCAAACAAAAACTTGTATGTGAACACGCGTAGCAGTGCTGTTCACAATGACCAAAGCCAGGAAACACTCAAATGTCCGTCAACCATCACTGGATGAACAGACAAAGAAAAGGTGGCACATCTCAGCAGTGGAATAGCATGCAGCCATGAAAAGGAAGGACACTCTGATCCAGGCTGCAGTGTGGACGATTCTTGAGAAAATGAGGCTGAGTGAAAGAAGCCAGACACGACAGACTGTATATCACATGATTCCATTTATACAAAATGCCCAGAGTGGGCACATCATAGAGATGAGCACAGATTGTTGGTTGCCAGGGCTCGGCGGGAGGAATGGGGTTTCCCATTTCGGGTGATGGAAATGTTTTGGAAGCAGAGGTGATGGGGCTCCACCCTGTGAATGAAGGCGGGTTGCATACTTTAACATGGTGAATTTTGTGTTATGTGCATTTTTTCCCGAATAAGAACAGGACGCCGCTGTGGAGGGGAGAGACCGCTCACGGGGACTGGATGGCCAGGAAGCCACTGCTGTGTGCCAGGCCCCTTCCAGGCTTGGGGTCATGCCCCCTCATATTAGGCATGGCCACCACCACTGACTGTGGTCCTTGGAATGCGAGTAGAAGAGATGAATGTGATGGACACTTCAGGGACAAAGCTTTTAGGAACTGGTGCCCTGTTCTTCCACTCTCCCCCACCACAGGGGACCTGAGGCCTTGTGTTGAGACAGCACCGGCTGCAGGCAATGGCGGAGCCTCTGTCATTCAGGTCCCCGAGCCACCAAGGAGCAAGAGACCCATCCCCCACCACACCGACCAGCAATTCATGGCGTGAGCGAGACCCACACCTCCATCAATAAGGCCACAGAAGAATCAGGGGTGTGTGTGGCTGCAGCAAACCCAGATGGTCCTGGCCACCCACCTGCCCTGAGGGGCCAACATTTGAGCTCGGCCCTCAATGAGGTGAGCAGTGACCGGCCTAAAGGAAGAATGCTCCTGGCCAAGGGAGGAGCAGCGCGAAGGCCCCACAGCAGATGTGTGCCTGGTGTGTTCAAGGACAGTCAGGGGCCGGCAGAACCCGCAGTGGGAGGCACAGGCTATGGGGTGAAGCACTGTGCTTCCTCATCAAGGGGTGGGAGCCCCTGACGGTTTTCAGCAGGGAGGGATGCAATCAGATGTGGGCTCTAGGAGGACACTCTGCCATGTGGACACTGGGTACTTTGAGAAGCAAGTGACAGAATCCCAGGCTTCCCAGTGAGGAAATTTAGGAACTCACATAACGGGAAGTGCAGAGGGACTGTGGGCTCCAGGACAGGGTGACCACACCCAGCTGTGCCTCTCTAAGATTTTCCCCACCATCATTCTCAGGCAGGTTCCCCTCATGCTCACAAAAAGGCTGCCTGTCTATCCGGGGACAGGAGGGAGCTCAGAACCCACAATAAGCCTCTGGTCACCTGTCATTGGCCCAAAGCTGGCTAGGCTAACCCACCCTAAACCAATCACTGGCCAGGAGGAAGGGTAGCCAATCTGTGATTGGTCAGCAGTGACAATATAAAAGCCTCACAACCCAGCCATACAGAAAAGGCTTTGGGAGCTCAGACCCTCAGAAAGCCCAGCTCCAGCACTATTCAACCACTCGCCATAACTCCCCACTGCCTATAGGGCAGAGCACAAACTCCTGAGTATGGTATTCTAGGCTCTGTGTCTCTAGATGATTTCACCCTTGCAATGACCCTGAGAAGTTAATATGATTACTCCCTTGAGAGATGAGGCAACCGAGGTATGGGGAAGTTAAGTAACGTGCCCAAGGTCACTCAGCCATCAGGTGGTGGTGGCAGGACTCACACTCAGGCAGTGGCCCAGAGCCTCCTCTGCCCACACCGCCAGCATCTGACCAGCCCCCTCCATGGACGGCCATGGTATTTCAAGCCGCTGCCTGAGGTTTTCCCTGCGGGTCCTGCCGTTCACTCCATGGCAGGCACGTTTGCTCCCTGGTCTTCACAGAAAACCAATTCGGGCGTCCCCCACTCAAAAAGCCTTCCTGGGCTCACTCCACTTAGCAGCCTGAGGCCTCGCCTCAGCACTTCCCCTGTCCTGAGTGACCTCCAAGGCCTCGCCTGTGGGAACGAGAACGAGGACGAGGCTGGGAACAGGGCGACCTGAGACACTGTGTGGAAAGGACGCCCTGAAACCCCCATGGTCCCTGCCCTGTCTCCAGCCTCCCTGCCGCACCTGCAGTTTCTGCTGATGGCCCCAGTGTAAACACACCAAGGCGCGGGGAGAAGAAGTGTCAGCCCAGCCTTAAACAAACCTGCTCAGCCGGAGATGGGGAGCAGGCTCGCAGGCAGCATGGGCTCTGGCTGGAGGGATTTGGATGGGATTTAAGCAGGACTTGGTTTACAGAGGGAAAAAATAATTATCTACAAGGCCTCGGATAAAGTAAAGCCCATTTGTTCCTGAGTGAATGAAGGAACACGTGGAAACTGACGATGTCTACCTGGGACTGGGCTCAGACAGTTACTCAATGTGAGCCCAACTGGAGGCTGGCCGTGGGAAACAAGTGGGCTGACCCCCTGTATCCACTCGAACCGGCATCTCAGTGTGTGCGCAAGAGCCAAAGGCCGGCTCAGGCACAGCCACCCTGGCAGCACATCAGAATCATGGCAGAGTCCTTAAAATGCTGTGACCGGCCGGGCACGGTGGCTCACGCCTGTAATCCCAGCACTTTGGGAGGCCGAGGCAGGCAGATCATGAGGTCAGGAGTTCGAGACCAGCCTGGCAAACATGGTGAAACCCTATCTCTACTAAAAATACAAAAATTAGCCAGGCATAGTAGCGGGCACCTGTAATTCCAGCTACTCAGGAGGCTGAGGCAGGAGAATTGCTTGAACCCTGGAGGCGGAGGTTGCAGTGAGCCAAGATCACGCCACTGCACTCCAGCCTGGGAGACAGAATGAGACTCTGTCTCGGAAAAAAAAAAAAAAAAAAGTGCTGATGACCAGGTCTCTGCCCAGACCATTAAAGTCAGCCTCCCTGGGCCAGGCCCGGATGTCTGTGTTTGATGGGAACTCCCGGTGATTCTGATGCACAGGCAGCCATGGGCACACACGGGCTCACTTGACCCCACACAGCCACGGACCAGACCCAAACCACAACTGTTGCCTCATTTACTCCTCACACGGCCCCAAACATTGCTGTCCTCACTATGCAGATGGGGAAACTGAGGCACAGGGAGGCTAAGTAACTGCTTCTGGTGGGAGGCGGTGGGGCCCGGGTTGAGATCCAAATTTGCCATCCCAAAATGTCCCCATCACCCCGTTGATGAGTCATTTTTTGTTGCCTCCTCCCTCAGATCAGGGTCCCCAGGGCAGATACTGTCCTCATCAGACCTGCAGTCCTCAAGGCTGTGTCCTGCCTCCTGACTTGCTCCACAGGCGCCTGTGGGGAAGGGGCTGTGTGCTGGCATGGGTGGTCCTGGGTCTGAGTCCGGACTCTGCCCCCTGCCAGCTAGGTGGTCGGGGGTCCGCATCCCACGCCTCTGAGCTACAACCCCTGGGCCCCTTGGTAAGGGCTGGGTCCTGGCAGGCTTCAGGGTGGGGCGGGGGCTGGTTCCTGGGTCTGGGACTCTGGGGGAGGCAGCTCTGGTGGGCAGGGAGGTGTTTCACCCCTGCCCTGCCCCTGCCCAGGTGGAGGACATGACACATTAAGTATTCCCCCGGACGGTGGACAGTGCTGGGAGGCTTCCCTCACCCTGCCTGGCAGTCCCAACCAGATGGACCCAAATGCAGAGTGAGGAAGTGCAGAGCCCATGGCCCAGCTCCCAGCAGGAAGAACACTGAGCCAGGGGCAGCCTGGCCCTGAACACTTGTGGGACTTTGGCAATTACTATGCCTCTGGGCTTCAGGTTCTTCATGGATAAATTAAGGAGTCTGGACCCAATCCAGTCGGGGCCATGTTGCCTGCTCTGCTGGTCCACTGGGCCGGTTGCCCAGAGGGCCGGGGAGGGGGTGTCCATCCAGGCTCCTGGGGAGCAAGAGCCTCATTGATTGGTGACGCCTGCCCAGGACCAGCCAGGGATGAGGCAGGCGTGCGCCAGGGCTTCTCTCCTCCTGTCACCCTGCACCCACAACCTGGGAAGGGAAGTTGGCATTAAGCTACACATTTCTGCCTCTACTGATGTACAGGCCTGATGGTGATATGCAAGTGACTGAACAATTAGAGAGCAGAGGGGTTTCTGTATTAAAATTTTTAAATAAATTAATAATAAATACAAATCAGTGGAAAGAAGAAATTAACAGTCACCTGCTTTCTCCCGCCCAGAACTAATCCTTGCTAATGTCCTGCGAGGGTTGCTTCCAGTCACTCCAGGCAACTTTTTGCTGTTCTTTAAGGAAGAAAAGGACGTATGTTTATAGAACGGCACGAGCTCACCGTAAAGATGTCAAACACGGCCAGGATGTACAAAGGTGAAGGATGAAAGCCACCGGGACGCTGCTGCCTGGAACTAACCCCACACGGTGGTGGCCGGCCCCCCGGCAGCCTTCTCTGCCAGGGTCCTGGAGAAGGACAGATAGACACATGGTCAGCTGGACAAGTGAGGCGGATCTTCCACAATCCATTTCTCTTTGGATGTTGATGGGGCTCATCTGAGGCCCATCCCAGTCTCTCTGACAGAAATCTGCCCCTGAAGGAGGGTCTGGGGCATGGGGGCAGAGAAGCCCTTCCCAACAGCTGACCTGGCTCTAACTCTCCAACTCTCAGCGTGGCTTTGGGGGCTGCCTGCCCCATCTGCACTGAACGGGGCCGGACCACACCGTGGTTCTAACCCACGTGGGTTTTCAGACCCTTCACAGTCCCAATGGACCCTCATGGCACACACATGGGCAGTTGCACACACACAAAGTCTAGGGGTTCGTGAAGCCATTGGAGCTGCCCAGGACCCCAGATCCAAAACTCTGAATCAAAGGATGTTGCCCCCCCACCCACCCCAGCTAAAGGGACGAAAGATTCTAAGAGCTTCCTCTTGGAGAATATTTTCAAATGACCTGACTGTCCACCTGTCCCACACACAGGTGTCTGGTAGAAACAGAGGCTGGACTGGTGGCCAGGACCCCAGGGTCTTTGCTGGGTCTGAGAGGGCCACACCCCCTTCCCTACCCATGACCATGCCCAGTCTGCCCACTCCCCAGACACCCACAGGCGGGACACAGCAACCATCTGCTTCTAGACACGATCCCTCAGTAGCCCATCCCCAGCTGTCCTGCCCCTGCCCGCAGTGATAGGAGGCCCCACCCAGAACTGGCCTTTAGCCGTGACTCCCGCCTGAGACCTGCTGCCCCTCCCACCACCCACCAGTGGGGTCTCTCCTCCCTCCCCTCCAGGAAGCCCCACCTGCTCCTCCACCGACCGCCAACCTTAATCCCACCTGCCACACCAAGCAGGGCCTTTGGAGACGGGGCTCCCCCAGGTCTGGCTGGGGTCTGCAGAGTTTCTCACTTGCAGCCCTTGCACCCCATGGCCGGCCCTTGTGAGGAACAGCACAAGGTGGCTCCGTGCCCTGCTGCGGGGCCACTGTCATGAAGATACTGCCGTCACCACCATCGCTATCATGACGGCCAATTGTCCCTTTGTGTTTGTGGATCTGCTACCTAGTTTCCTGCCAGGCTCAAGGCTCTCACGCCCCCCACAGAGAAGGGCCTGAGTCGCAGGGTCAGGGAAGGCGCCCAGTCTGGGCACAAGGCTCATTTCCTGAGAGCAGGGTGGGGGGCGGGGGGAGTGGGGACTGGAGCCCAGAGTCCAGCTCATCAGAGGGAACACAGGGCCCAAAATCCAGACGTTCACCATGACCCTCTTCAAAAGCAGAGGCCCGAGCAGGATGGGAACCGGGGAGCTGGCCATCCAAAAGCACCCCGGCCATGGGCAGCCACCCTGCAGCCTGAGAACGTGCTTGCCCTACCCAGCCTCCCTCACCTCTTCCCTGAGCTTCAGCCGCTCCCAGGAATGTGCCTGCCCTACCCAGGCTCCCTCACCTCTTCCTGAGCTTCGGCGGCTCCCAGCCGCCCCCACCAGCTAAGCACCTTCCGGGCCTGCTCTCTGTCCTTCTGACACGCCTCATAAGCAGGAAGTGGCCTGGGGCCCTGCACGGGCAGGCCTGCTGGATCCCAGACCCCAGCAGCTCTACTGTGAGAAAGATGTGGGGAGAGCCTGGGAGGGGATGTGGGGAGCGCCTGGGAGGGGACTTTGAGCACCTCCCTATTCCTCACTGGAAAGAGGACCGCCAACCCCACCCCGGGACAAGGCGCAGAGGTCATGAGAAATGCCCTACGTAGGGCCACCTGGTCTATGAGAGGCCTTCTTAAGGGGGCCAGAGTAGATGGGGGGTAACCTGCATCGGGTTGAGTACCCTGACTGCTGACTCCAGCCAGAGGATGAGCCCTGATCTCGCTCGCACACTGAGCCCTGATCCCGCTTATGCACTGAGCCCTGATCCCGCTCACACACTGAGCCCTGATCCTGGCCACACACTGGTCCCCTACCCTGGTCACACACTGATCCTTGGTTCTAGTCACAGCCTGAGCCCTGATCCTGGTCACACAGTGAACTCTGACCCTGGTCACAGGCTGAGCCCTGACCCAGGCCTCACACTTGACCCCCCATATGGCCCCACGAGTTGGTCAGGACAGAGTCCAATGCTCTTGACTCCAAGTGAGCCAGCTGAGGCTCTGAGCCACGAAACCCTGGCCTTGGTCAGGGGCCATGCTGGGACCTGAGCCCGGGGCTTAGACTTTGAGCCTAGTTCTCACTCCCACCTCCAAAGCACCTGAGGACCTGGCCTCAGCTGGTACCCTGGAGGAGCAGTGACAGAGTTGGAGGAGGTAGCCCCTCCTGGATCAGCACCCATGGGGCTGGAGGCAGAGAGGGTCTGTGCCCCAGACAGTGAACAACAGCCGGTAGGGGTTCAGAACTAGGCAGAGCCAGGGCTGCCAGTGGGGGCTGAGCTCCCCTGGGAGGCCTCCAGGAAGACCGCTCAGGACAGAACAGGCCGATTTTAGGGGGTAGCAGAGACAGGGAAGGTACTTCCTTAGTGAGAGACTCCATAGCTCTTGGGACAACCTCAAACTGGGCCCCACCAGCAAGGGCTGGAATTCCGATCCCAAGGAGTCCTCGTCTCAGCCCCCAGGGCAGGTCCCGGCCACCCGCTGGTCCCTTCTCCAAGTCTCAGGTTTCTCGTCTGTAAAATGCAGGAGACAATCAGGTTCACAGTGGCTTGTAGAAACTTTTGAGGCTGTGTGCATTTCAGGGTCTGGCTCAGATTTTAGAAAGACAGTGAGATGCACCTAGCGGAGGTCACATACACCCCATGGGGTCTGGGAAGCACCTCCACCACACACACTGATACTTCTGCCACGAGCCTTATTGGTATGCCCACCGGGAGGGATAAATGGATGCTGAATACCCTCGGGTTGGGTCCAGTCAGTTTACGCGGCTGAGTGAGCTTGTGTCAAACCTACCTAAATGCTTCCCTGTCTCAGAGAAGTTTGGATTTCGGGGTCCTGGGCTGGGGCCTCAGCAGAGGCACGTGAGATCTGGTCTGCAGCCCCCGCCAGGGCCCCGCCTACCCTGTTGGGACCGCCCATTGGCGGGTGCCATCCACTCCCCTTTGCTCGGTTCCCAGCGCCCTCCCCCGCTTGCCAACCGGGAGAGTTGGCACCAGCCTTCCGGAACGTAACCTACCCCGCCAACAACAGCTTCCCTCCTCCCATTCCCGCGCACTCCTCCAGGGCGGCAGGCAGTCGGCAGAGGCAGCAGGCCTCTATAAATAGTGGCCCTGACTCCTCCACCGCCTCGCTGGGGTTGTACCCCCACTGCCCAGATGGACAGACCCAGGTCGGGAAGGAGACAGGCTGGGACTTGCCCAGGGCTCCCCTGGGAGGTAGGGGTCAGCCCTGGTGAGTAGGGGAGGAACCCACTGCAGGAGGGTCTCCGCACAGGGAAATGTGAGGCTCACAGCCATGGGAGCCAGTCCGAGGCCCTGGGCTCACCTGAATGGTTCAAATCCTGGCTCCACCTCTCAGTAGCTGGGTGGTTCCTCAGAGCTTAGTTTCCTTGCTTATGACAGTGGAGGTAACATCAGCGGTCCATCCCACTGCCGCCATCCCCCAGGACCACTGCATCCCTTTCACTTACTAAGAGATGGTCTCCTGGCCCCTAGGAGGAGAGGGCAGGGTGAGCAGGTCCAGCTCTTAGGAGCCAGAATGAGATGAAGCTGCTGCAGGAAGGACTAAGGTTAGAAACGGGAAAGAACTTCCTGTTCGTAAGAGCAGTGTGTGCCACCCCGGAAGGCTCTGTGGGAAAGTTTATACAGGCAGAAAAGGGGCCCAAGTGCCTGCAATGGGGCCATGGCAGCCTGGAGCCCTGCCCTTCCCACCCATTTTTAAAATGAGTAGGCATTTGCATTTATTGAGCTTCTACTATATACCTCCCCACATGCTCAGCAACAGAAAGGAGGAAGAAACCAGCGAAACGTTGGCCGTGTCTCAGAGGAGTCAAACATTTGGCTGGAGACAAACTTGGCCCAGGAAAATCCCAGCAATTGATCCAGGCCCAGACTGCCCTCAGAATTCAGGGCTAAGACAAACCAGTCAGGGCAGGCTTCCTGGAAGAGGTGGCCTTGTGGCTAGAGGCTGGTTTGGATCCGTGGGAAAGGCCTTCTAGGTGGAGAGAACAGTGGGGCAGAGTTGTGCAGGTGGGAAGGCTCTCAGGCTTCTGCAGAGACAGTGAGGAGAGACCTTGGGGTCACATTCTCGGTCCTGAGCTTGTGACCAGTGCTTGGGAGGGCTTGTCCCAGAAACCCTGAACCCAAGCAACTTCCTAAAAGTTGTTCTCAGAGCCAGAGAGTTCAGAGCCTGGGTCTCCACGTCCTGCTCCTTAGAGGTCACCAGTTTCCCTGCCCACCGGTGCCAGATGTCCAGCCAGTAGCTTTTAGCCTGTGCTGGCCTAGGCCATTTTGGCCACTCACAGTGACCAAAGCTCATTGCTATGAGGGAAGGTGGAGGGGTTGGGCAGAGAACAGCAGCTGCCACTGCAGCGTCCCCACACGGACACTACCCCTGGACATCCATGCTCCCTGCTCCTGGGCCAACGAGGAAGCCAAGGTCAGGAGAACCCGGGTACCCGGGGCCGCTCCTCTGAGGCCTGCCGAGCAGACAGACACAGACAGACACAGCTATTCCTGTCCCAAGGGGCCATCGGGGGCTGGGAAGTGCTGAAATAGAAAGCAGGTCCCGAGCCCTGCTGGGGACGTGGCCTGTTCTTGACCTGGGTGGACTGGGCCAACTCTAGAGGGAGTTGCAGCTCAGCCCAGCCTGGCCAGTTTGTGGTGGCTGGCCTGGGCCACCCCGGGCAGGCGCCTGGGCCCAGGAGGGATCTTAGACCTCACACTCTCTCCCCTGGGGTTCCCGGGCTGTGGGGTCCTTGTCACAGTTCCCCAGGTGATGGGTTCCTGGAGCTTCCAGAGAGAAAGCTCTGGCAATTTGGGGGCTTTGTAAGGGCTGAGAGACTCCAGGCCTGGTCCCAGCTCCACCCTCCTAGCTGCATGACCTTGGGCAAGTGACTTTGCCTCTCTGAGCCTCCCTTTCCTCTTCTGAAGATGGGAACAGGATGCCCCATTATAAGATTATTTGGGGGAATTAATAGACCTGAAGTGCTTCCCCTGTGCCTGGCCCGCCAGAAGCTCTCAGTGAGCGGCAGCTGTTATAGACTTGTCTCGGTGAGCGCTGCATGTTGAGTGACTGACCTGCTAGACCAGGGGTTTCAACCCTTGGATCACATCCCAGGAGGGCTCCACGCAGCAGTGCCTCATACTCTGCCCTGTTTTGTGTTCCAGTGCCTGGGATAAGAGGTGCCAAGCAGGGCCCGCATGGCCACCACCCCCGGCCACCAAGCCTGCTGGACCTGTGCTTGCTCTGGCACCTGTGCTGATCCCACTAGAGCCCCTCCCTGGCTGGGCCAAGTGTCAGAGGAGGCTGTGGAGAGAGGGAGCAGGGCCAGGCCCCTGAGAGGGTCCCGGGGCTTCCCCTCTCCCTCTCCCTGGGGAGTCTATTGCCACAGCAGCCCCAACGTGGGTCAGACCCCAAAGGCTCGGCCGCCTCCTCAAACCCCAAGTGGAAGGTCCCGGGGTGGTGGGAGCCCAGTGGCCTGGCCTCTGAGCTCCCAGGTTCCTGCCTGACTCTTCAGGGGCCCAGCTGTGTGAGCCCGAGGGAGGGAAGGGACTTAGTCCCCTTGCTCTCTGTGAGGACCCTCACCAGGAGGTGGGCGGGATGAGAAGTGCTGGTCCAGGCACAGGCCAGGTGGAACGGGACACACGGGAAGCCCCCCACGGTGGCAATCCTCTTCCTGCTGTCTCTGCCCTGGGGGAACCCACCACTCACCCAGCACCTCCTGGGCTGGCCCTGGGTGGGCCTGGAGACCCAGATGGTGGGAACTGCACCCCTGCCCAGCTGCCAGCTGTAACCTGGCTGGCCACAAGAAGGCCAGGGCGTGAAGGGGCACCCCTGCCCAGGTGGCAGGAAGGCTGGCATGGAGCTGAGCTGCCTCGGAGCTTCGATAGCTGAAGCCCCTCTCCGGCCTTCATCTCCACATGTATAAAAGGTGGGGCCAACTTGGCGGGTTCCAAGGTCCTCTGGTCCCAGTGTTCCCCCTGAGGCCCTGCTGCCCCATTCTGTAAGCTAAGACTCAGCTAGCCCCACACGCATTCCACACTCCACACTCAGACCTCACCCCAGGCTCCTGGACCCATGGCAAGGCCAGGCAGAGCCAGTGTGAATCCTGGGAGAGCCTGCAAGGCTGGTCACCAGACCTCCTCCACCAGCAATCCCTCCCGGATTGGGTCTTAGGAGCCTGGGGCTTTCCCTCTGCTTTCTCACCAATAAGCCCCGCGCTGCTGTCCCCCGCCATTCCCTGCGGGGACCCTCCCTGGGCTCCATGGGGCTCAAGGCTGCAGCTTCTTCCGTGTGGGCCCCTTCAGCAGTACCAGCCCACACTGAGTCTCACCACCTTGTGCCAGCTGTGGCCAGGGCCACAGCCCTGCCAGACCCCATGATGAGGCAGTGTTCTGTGGGTGCCCCTTCCCACAGTCCATGAGACTGGGTTTAACAGAAGGGTACTGGGGGGCTGCAAGCCAGGCATGGTTCCAGCCAGGGTCTGCATGCCCCATTTGCTGTGTGACTTTGGACAGGCCTTCCTCCCTTTCTGGGCCTCAGTTTCCCTGTGTGTAAGAGCAGATGTTGAGACAAGATGCCCTGGGGGGAACCCTCAGTGTTGAGCAGGCATAAGGGGGTGCCTTGGGGCACCGAGGGGGCCAGCCCAGAGGGTAGCAGTCCCAGCAGCCACCCTAGGATGACTCCCTAGAGCCCCAGAGCCGCGCGCTAACTGTGCACCAGGCACAGCACCAGGTACCCTGGACGTCCCCAGTTGTGGCTGAGTTCCAGGCATTCAGCCAAGACTGGCCTGGATGATCCCGGACTCTGGGTACTTCCCCACCCACCTCTCAAAGGCTCTGCCCTGCAGGGTCTCATAGCCTGCCCTGGTTCTTCTAGCCTCCACCCCTGGAGCCCCGACATGCTCTGCTACCGTGGGGTCCGCGTCTTCCCCTCAGATAGGAGGAGGCCGCAGACTGGGCCCAGGCTGCCCCTCACTGCTGTGGGCCTTGGGGCTGGTCCTGTCCCTGTACCCCCAGCCCAGTTTCCTTGGTTCCCACTGTGGGGCTGAGCCTCCCTGTGGAGCTGTGATGTGGCCGGCAGGACCCAGCGCTTCCTGAGAGGAGGGACGCCCCTTCCCAGCCGTGAGCACAGGCCACAGGGCCAAGGCTGAGGATCAGAGCAGACAAGGGAGGCGCCAGGCTGGGCTTGAACCCAGGGCTGCACAAGGGGCCCCCACATTCCCTGGACATGCAGGCTCACCTCTCCCTGGGGCAGAGAAAGGCTCCTGCCCACCCCAGCTCAATGGCAGGTGCCTGCCCGCTACCCAGCAAGTCCAGAGTGCAGGAGAGGGCCTGTGGGCACTGGACCCCCCAGGAAGGAGCCTGCAGGTCTCCCGATCACCCCTCATCTGGAAGCTCTGCACTCCCCCTCTGCCCCTCCTCCATAGCTCTGGCCTCTCGAGTAGGTGGGAGTCCTGCAGAGCTGGCTGGCATCACCCCACCTTCGCAGGCCCCCTTGGGAGGACCTCACCCCTGGACACATGGCAGAAAACGGCTGCCAGCCTCCCGGGGCTGTTTACATCCTCGAGTGGCACCAAGACGAGGGTCTCTCAGGAGGACAGACGAGGTCTGCGGTGTCAGGCACCAGCAGGGGTGGCAGAACCCGCCTGTCACCACCATCTGCTGTTCCCCATTATCCTGAGCCCTCTCCACCCCGGGGACTGCTCAGTGGCCCGTTGTTGGCTTCATCCCTCAGGATGGGGACCCTACAGTGCCAGCACTGCCCATGATGGGCGGGGCTTGTCAGTCTTGATTGCAGCGTTATGGGATTCCCAACTGCAGCTGCCACAGCGAGAGGGCCTTGGCGTCACAGGCCAAGGGTGGAGGACAGGAGCCATGGGTCCACCTGGCTCCCATGGAGGTTCACAAGGGGCCACTTCTGCCTCCTGCCCAGGGTGGCCTGGTAGCCCTGCTGGCGGCTCATGTGGAGATATCATTGTGGCGCTTCCCTGCACCCTGTCCCTTGGGGAAGGAGGAATGGTAGGCTGCTGATGCCTCACCGCTGGCAGGGCCTCCAAGGATGCTTCCATGGGCTTGAGAGGGCTCTCCACCAGGCCCAGTTCCCTACAGTGTCTGCCCAAGGGGCCCCTCCCACCCTGCAAAGTGTGCCAGAGCCCAGGATGAGCAGTCCTGCCCTGCGAAGGGCCAGTCAGACACACCTGAAGGGGTCCTGACCCTGGGCACAGCCACTCTCTGACCTCTGACCCCTGACCCCAGTCACAGACAGCCTGGCCTGACCTGCCAGCCTGATAAAGATGACAAGGAGGAAATTGTCCCTGTGCCCTGTCTCCTCTGAGGGTTGTGGAGTGTTGGCCCTGAGCTCGGGACCCCCATCCCTGGTGTCCCCCCAAGAGGATCCCTGGGTCCTGCTGAGAAGAGTCTCCCTGGGGGAGGAGTCAGGGAGGCTGGCGTGGGCTGTGACCCCTCCCCAGGCAGTTCCCCGCTGTTTGCTGGGGGACCGTCTCTGAGATTTCTCTGAGAACAAGCCTGAGAGTGCAAGGCTGGAGCCCCAGGCCCTCAGAGGTGGGCATGAGGCCTGGCACTGGTGCGGTGACTCAGCCACCCTCGCCTGCTCAGGAAATCTGAGCCTCCTCTGGCTCCAGCCCTGCCCAATCTGGGCTGCCTCCAGGCCACCCCCACACAAAAATGACATTGCATCCACCCCCACCTTCCACAAGCCCGGTGAAACCCTGCCTGCCAGGAGCCAGTCCTGGTCCAGAGAGGTGCAAGAGGCTGGTGGCCAGAGACTCCTGTGCCTCTCTGGGCCTCAGTTTCCCCAGCTAAAACAGACACAACGATGTTCTAAAGGAGATAATTGCAGCCTGTGGGCTCAGCCCTGCAGCCGCAGGGAGGCTGCTCCAGAGTGAAGAAACCATCCTCTCCCAGAACTTTCAATGGCTCCCTGTTGCAGCACTCTGGTACCCATAGAGGCTGCTGAGACTCAGTGTAGAAGTCCCCTGCCCACTCCCAGCTTTGCTCCCCAGGAAATATTCTGATGGCCTCCTGTCCCTCTGCCCATCTGGGCTGCCTGCCTCCTGTTATACCTCCCTCTGCCCCTTCCAGGAAGCCTTCCCAGACGGCATCCCTCCCCAGCAGGCTGGGTCAGGACCCTAGGGCCCACCTACTCTCTCCTGTTGGTCTGCATTACAACCAGCCTGAGCTCGGGAAGGCCCAGCCCCTCCCTTGGGGAGCCTTCCCTGAGTCTCCGGTGTGCAGTACAACCCACTCAGCAGGGCCTCGGCACTCAGGCGGCTGGAAGGTTAAAGTGTGAGTATCAGCAGAAGCACACGGGATGGGAACAAGAGGAGATGGTGCTCTCGGCAGAGGAGACACTAACTAAATGGCCCCAACCGCTCCCCGACAACCCCCGCTGCCACCCCAGGCTGGCCACAAGGCCTCCTGGCTCTGAAGCTGTCTGGGGAGAGTGGCCCTCCAGCAGCCCTCTGGGATCAAGCCTGTTGATGAGCTCACGCTTCCTCCAGCACTGAGGTCCGGGTCCCACACGCTCTCCCCACCTGCTGGCCTGGGTCACGTCCAGGTCTTTCCCACACACCTGACCCCACATGCCACATGCCACCGGTGCATGGGTGCAAACAGAGGCCCAGATGCCAGGTGTGCAGGCTGTCGGTCATGGGTACACACAGACACAGCCAAACCCAGGACACATGCAAAACAGAGAGCCATGCAGGAACCCAGGCTTGCGTGGGCTGAAGCTACCATGCACATGCCCCCTCCCGGGAAGGAAATTGGGCTTTCGTGTGCTCCCACCTCCTGTCCCGCACACAGCACGCACAAGTGCCAGCCACCATCTCCTGGATGGTGCAGCTGAGACTCAGCCCCTCCGTGCCTCAGTTTCCCCCTCCTGCCCCCCACACAGCACACACAAGTGCCAGCCACCGTCTCCTGGATGGTGCAGCTGAGACTCAGCCCCTCTGTGCCTCAGTTTTCCCCTCCTGCCCCGCACACAGCACGCACAAGTGCCAGCCACCATCTCCTGGATGGTGCAGCTGAGACTCAGCCCCTCCGTGCCTCAGTTTCCCCCTCCTGCCCCGCACACAGCACACACAAGTGCCAGCCACTGTCTCCTGGATGGTGCAGCTGAGGCTTAGCCCCTCCGTGCCTCAGTTTCCCACCTCCTGCCCTGCACACGGCACACACAAGTGCCAGCCACCACCTCCTGGATGGTGCAGCTGAGGCTCAGCTCCTCGGTGCCTCAGTTTCCCCCTCTGTCTCCAGTGGGTGTGGGGACTCTGGTGCCCCAGGCCCCTCTGTGCCTCGGTTTCTTCTTCTGTCTCCAGTGGGTGTGGGGACTCTGGTGCCCCAGGCACCGTCCCTCAGGCTCTGAGCCTTGACTCCTCCTGGGGGCGGGGAAGGAGCCTGCCCCGCCCCCACCCTGCCTTTGCCCAAAAGGAGCCCCAAGCGCTGGCCTGACGTCAGGCCGTAGGAAGGCGAGGTCCGGGCTGCATGCAGAGCTGAGAGCTGAGGACTCCCATCTCCAGCCTGCCCGGGTGAAGCGCGGTAAGTTCCCCTGTGGGCTGGCCCCAGCCTCCCTCTCCCCAGCTTCCCTAGATAGGAGGCTCCTGAGCTGCTCCCTGCAGGGGTTCTCACCCCCAGCCAAGCAGGAGTGGGAAGGGCAGGGCAGAGAAACTGCCTCCAGATCCGGGCTGGGGAGAGCTCAGAGCAGGTCCTGCTGGACAGGGAGCCATTTCTCAGATGAGAAAACAGAGACCTGAGGGAGAACATGGGCGTGAGTTGGGCTGGCTGCATAAGGGGGAGCTGCGCTGCTAGGTGCCCACCCAACTCTGGATTTCATTCATTCACTCATTCATCCCTCCGTTCAACACTCACCGAGCATCTGCTGGGTGCCCAGAGCTGGGTCTTGGTTTCCCCACCTGGCAAGGCAGCAGGGTGGCCCACAGGCCAAGCCAGGGACAGAGTTGGGGGACCCCAGAGGCACTTGGCAGGCTCTGGGGCCTCAGCCACCACCACCCCGCAGCTGGGGCAGGGCCATGGTGAGGGCTTTGTGGGCATGGGCTCCAAGCGCCATGCTCCCTCTTCAGAGTGCCCGTCCTGCCATCCCACAGCTCAGGCCCTCTGCAGTAGCCTTGGTGCTGTCTCTACCCCTTAGGGGTGGGGAAACTGAGTCCCAGGGAAGGCTTGCTTGCCAGCCCTCAGTGTGGACCTAGAAGCTGGCTCCAGCCCCGCGAAGCTCGCACTGGGACTGCGCTGTGAGAAGGCGGCAGGACAGGGTCCCGAGGGGGCAGCGGGCTGGGAACTGGCCAGCAGCCAGGGTGCTGGCGGGGCAGACGTGGAGCAGCTGGCGACCTCGCAGGACGGGGAATGCACCCCGCAGGAGGCTGGGCCTGTCCACTTGCCCTGTCTTCTTCCTTCAACAGCTGGTCATCCTGGGTCTTCCCTCCCCTCTCCCCCCAGGACTCATCCAGTCGCTGGGCTCCAGGGCGGTCTGCTGAGTGGCCGTGGCAAGTCGCTGCCCCTCTCTGAGCCACACGGTGTGGGCCCATCAGCAAAGGCGGGGTCTGCGGCTGGAGAGCCGGGCGTGGGGGCCATGCAGTTTGGACCATTTCTGAGCAGCTCCTGGAGCCCACGGGGTGGCTTCATTGTCTTCTTGTTAAGTGGTATTAGCATCTCCTCTTTATAGATGAGGAAACTGAGGCTCAAGGAGATCAGAGGGGTATTCTAAAATCATCCACTCCATCACTCAGCAGTGACTCAGTGACTCAGAGGGGCCAGCCAAGGCCAGGGCCCCTGAGGCACTCCAGTTCAGTGAGGGAAGCACAGCGAACAGGAAAGCAGGGACATAGGGAACTGCGCGTGGCAGGGCACTGCGAAGGAAGCCAGGCGGTGCAGGCGTGCGGGGCTGTGGGCTCTGGAGGGCCTCCCTGAGGAGGGGCGTCAGGGCCCAAAGAACCTTAAGTTGATCCCCTCACCATACGTCCCAAAGCCCTCCCCACGCCCCCGGTGTCTCACAGAGCCCTGAACACAGACTCTCCTTCCCACCTCTGGCCCTTCATGCTCACTGTGCCCTTCCTGCTGCCGGGAGCGCTCTTCCCTCTGATTGTCCTGAGGCCCATCCCGGCCGTGACCAGCCACCTCCCACCCTACCCTGAGCTGTCAGCTCGGAAAGGTGGGGCCAGGTCTGCCTGGGACCCATTTGTGCCCGCAGTGCTGGGGTCTAAGTCCTGGTCTGACACCTCCAAACTGCACGGGGCTGTGTGGCCTGGGGCCTCTGATTCCCTCCACACACAGGGCTGGGTGCCGCAGAAGGCTGATCCCAGGCACTGGGACAAAGTGCCAGCAGGCAGATTGAGGCAGAGCTCAGCCCCTCCTGCACCCCAGCTGGGTGAGCCCGGACACATGACTTAGCCCCTCTGTATTGGTTCCCCACAGGCACAGTGGGGCCAGAAACACCCACCCAGGGGCATCTTGAGGGAAGTCAATAAGACCCTGGGAAGGATGAGCCCAGCGGGTGCCCTTCAGATTGTGGGATCATAGCTCTCCCCCTGGGGCAGGGGCATCCAGGGCACTAGGGCATCAGAGGGGCTCAGGGAGAGCTCTGTGGAACAATGACTGTGGGTGCCCGGAGCCTTCACCAGGTGGCACAGGGAGAGAAACAGCATTCCGGGCAGAAGGAACAGCACATGCAGAGGGAAGAGGCTGAGAGGACCAGGCTGAGGAGCTTCAGGCGGAAGGACCAGGCTGAGGCCAGGCAGGTGCACATGACAGAATGCCTGTCCCAGCAGCTCCTGGAGAGGCTGAGGTTGGGGAGGGGTTTCAGGAGCTGCTGCAGCTACGGCTATCCCAGCTAGAGGTGAGCAATGAACTCGGTGATGGGGAGGAAAGGAGGGGCTGGTGGGTGACACGCAGGACCTCCAACTGGCCATGCCCCTCCCAGAGACACCCAGCTAGAGGTGAGCAATGAACCCAATGATGGGGAGGCAGGGAGGGGCTGGCAGGTGACATGCAGGACCTCCAACTGGCTATGCCCCTCCCAGAGACACTGGTGTTTCCGTTAGAGCCGCAGTCTCAGCAAGAGGGCTCTTAGCTGGTGGAACTGAGGCAGAGTCGGGTCAGATGGGGCCCAGGTGTCCTTCCCCACAGAGCTCAGTCTGTGCCCACCAGTGACGTCTCTCTCTGCACTGGGGTGGAGGGAGCCCTGGCCTGTGGGCGTGGGGGACAGGGAGAAAGACTTGGCTTCTGGCCAGGGTCACCTGGGACTTGCTAGGTGACCTGGGGTGAGTCTGACCCCATTTGGAGAGCTCAGCAAGCACCCACCTGCCTCTTGGTGGAAGAAACGGAGGCTCAGACTTATCAAAAACAGCAGATGATATTCAAAAGCAGATGCTGTGAAACCAAGAATAATCATAAAAATAAACAGGCAGACAGTTCCCCGAATCATGGCTATTTTAGCCCTGGAAGGCCATGAGGGCCACGCCGTCTGGGGTGCAGGCTCAAGCACACACAGACCCGTGGTCACACATGCGGCCTCAGGGCCCGGAGAATCCCCTTGTGCACAAACTCCCGGTCCAGAGATGCCTAATCCAGCCCCTCTGCTCCCCAGCCCGCACTCTGCTCCACTCCGGCCTGTGCCGGGTCCTGCCAGTGGACCTGGGTCTGATTCCCAGCCCCACCAGCTCCATGCTGGGTAACCGTGAGGACACCACTCACCCCTCTGGGCCTCCGGTTCCTCATCTGTAAAACCTGGGATTGCTGTGTGGATGCAAAGCGCCCTTAGCAGGTGCTCAGAGCCCCTCTGTGGGGAAAAGGCTGGGCCCGTCCTCCACACGTCCACAGACAGCACACAGGGTCCTGAGCCAGACCCCCAGGCAGGCTCAACAGCCACCCTGGGCCATCTGCTGCCCTGGGGCCGGGGCCACTCTGCTGCCTGGTCTCACATGTGGCAGGACAGAGGCAGACAGGCTGCTGGGCAGCCAAGAGAGAACTCCCAGGTTGGTGGGGTGGGTTTGAGAGGAGCCCAGGGAAGAGAGGACATAGCCCTCCCCACCCACCGGCCAAGGACGGAGGCCGGCATGACCCTGGTGCCCCGCTGGAGGCCTCTGGGCAGGTGCCAGCACCCCAAGCCCAGGGGTCTGGCCTTCCATGGCCGGGTGCCCAGCAGAAATTCAACAAGCTGTGGGTGAGGGCAGGGAGGCAGCAGCCCCCATCAGTGCTCTGGGCATGGACTAGTGGTGTGGCCATTGGGATGGATGGAGCAGGAACCCCCAGGGAGGGGACAGGGTCAAATAGCTTCCATGCTCGATGCTCGCTCCCACCCCTTGGAAGTTCCCAGGACCGTGAGTTTCACAAAGGCTCTGAGAAGTCCTGCACTGAGCACACGTGTTGGCCCTGGCCTCTCCCCACGTGTGAGCGGGCTGGTCCACACAGGGCCCCATCCAGGTGCCAAAACCAGGAGCCTCCCGTGCTCTTATATCGCACGCCTCCCATGTTGGGGGTGTCTGCAGTATTTCTCACTTAGTCCAGCCACCCTGCCTGATTTCATTCATTCATTCAACAAATATGGTTCCCAAAGTCCCAGGTGAGGGAACTGAGGCTCCCAGTGATGAAATGATTTGCCCGAGGCCTCGAAGGTGGCGGGTGGTAGAGCTGGCCTGCAAACCAAAGACCATTGCTATCAAGAGTGGTGATGGGGCCGGGCGCAGTAGCTCACGCCTGTAATCCCAGTAGTTTGGGAGGCCAAGGTGGGCAAACCACTTGAGGCCAGGAGTTTGAGACTACCTTGGCCAACATGGTGAAACCCCATCTGTACCAAAAATACAAAAATTACCCAGGTGTGGCACGGGCACCTGTAATCCCAGCTACTCCAGAGGCTGAGGCATGAGACTCACTTGAACCCAGGAAGTGGAGGTTGCAGTGAGCCGACATTTCGCCACAGCACTCCGTCTCAAAAAAAAAAAAGAAAGAAAGAAAGAGTGGTGATGGGAGATAGAGGGTGGGAAGGAATGTAAGTGTGGACACAATGGTCAGAGTGATTAGGACGGGCTTCCGGGAGGAGGTGTCAGCCTTGCTCGGCTGGGAGGACTCATGGGTAGTGACGATGGGGCTGGGGGTGGAAGCCAATTCCAGACCAGTACCAAGACACTGGGTAGGCAGGTTTCAGAGGGGGCCAGGCCAGGTGGCATTCACCCTGAATGCCAGGTTGAGAAACCAGGCCACACCTTGCCAGCCCTGATGAGGCTTGCTCAGGGCGTTCATTCAGACAAGGGGGAAGACGGGTGCTGCTCTCTGCCAGGCCAATCTGGGTGCTGGGCTGGTGGAACAGATGGGAGCTCAGCCCCCACCCACAGCCCCGCCTCAAGATGCTCAGAGTCCAACAGGGAAGCCTGCAGCACATAGCAGCGCCGTGGGATGAACCCTGGGATTGAGGAAGCGCAGGGTGCCCTGGGAGGATGCACCAGAGAGAGGCAGCCCAGGGAGGAAGAAGGCTTCCTTAAGGAGGCAAGTCCAGGGGGAAGTCCTAAAAATGGGCATGAATAAGCCGAAAGGGAGAGAGCAGGAACAGCTTGGGGTTGGGCCTGGAGGGCGCATGGAGTGTTTAGGCCCCGCTAGTAGTTTCGCCTGCAGAAGCATCAGTCAGGTGCAGTGACTGGAGAGGCACATCCCCAGCCCTGCCCAGCAGTCCAGGCCTCAGGCCCCTCCCAGGGAGAACCCCCAACCCAGCGGCAGCCCCGCCTAGGACGGCTGTTTTGTGATGTGATACCTACGGGGAGGGCATGAGGGACATCCTCCTTCACCCTCTGCCCCCTCCCCTGGAGGAGCTCAGCGAAGCCTTGAAAGGCCGGGGCTCTGGGAGGTGTGCCCACCTGGAGGGGTGGGGGCTCTGGGGGTCTGCCCACCCGGAAGGGTGGGCCAGAAACAGAAAAGAAAGAGATGCCGCAGCACACCTGCCCCTGCCCCGCCACACCTGCAGCAGGTGCTCTGTTCAGCCAAGGCCCAAGACAGCCATGCAGGGCAGCGTGTCCGGCCATTCCCACTTCACAGGAGGAGACACTGAGGCTCAGAGAGGACCCACCCAGGTCAGAGCCCTCCCTCCAGGCTGGCGGGGGCAGTGAGTAGTGTGGGAGCTGGACCTGGTCTAGGCTGCACACCCAGGTTGGAGCAGAGCTCGCCCCCTCGCCCTCTGGGTCCCCCGCTGGCAGCTTGTCCCATACTTTCATCACTTCCTGTGTCTGAGCCCCTACTCTGGGCTGGCACATCAGGACAAGAACCCCCAGGGGAGATTCTATTTTGCCCACTCTACAGATGAGGAAACTGAGGCTCAGAGACTGTAAGGCCACATAGTCCGTTCAGAGATGGAGCCAGGCTTTGGCAGGGCCATCCAGGCCAGAGCCAGGGCTCCATGGCCACACTCCAGGTCCCTACCCTGCTGGGTCTCCACTCACTGACTCTCAGCCCTGGAGAGCAGGCCCTCGTTCCCTCTGTTCTGTCCCCAAGGAAGTACCTGTGTGTGGGTGGGGAGCAGAGCTGGCCTGGGCCAGTGGAAAAGAGAAACCTCCCAGCCCTGGCACAGCCTCCAGGCCCTGAGCCCCAACACCATGTCAGCACGATCAGGACACGGTGCCAGTCCCTGCCCATGAGACTCTGGCCAGTTGGCCCCCGCCATGGAGTCTGCTGTCTCAGACAGACCCAGGGTGCCTGCCAGGAAAGAGGGAGGAGACAGGACCATCTCCCCCACACCCAGGTTTGGCTTAGGGAAACTAGGCTTGGGGACAGGGCCCTGCCTCCCCTCTCCGGCCGGCTCTGAGGGTAAAACCATGCCTCTCCCCTCAGTCCAGGCTACCAGGGCGAGGCAGAGCTGTGGAAGGCACGAGTGACCCCATTCAGCAGATGAGGACGGCCAGCCTACTGACCAGGCCCAGGTCTCAGCTGAGGGAGTGGCAGGGCTGGACTCAAACCCGGGTCTCTGTGCTGGTGACTGCTCATCACCCGGGCCCTCCGGAGAGCAGAGTCTGTGCCTCTCCCACAGGCAGAGCCAGGCTGTCCCAGGAGGGGCGGAACCTTCTCCTTTCCCCAGGCACTCGCCAGGGAGCCACTTCCATGGGCCCCTGCAGGGTCTAGAGTCCCCGCTTGCATTCCTCCTCCTTCTGAACAAAGAGGGTGGTGAGTGGGAGCCCCAGAGAGGCCCCGTAATAATCGAATCGGGACATCCGTCGCTGTGGGAGGCAGGTGGGGGTTGACAATATGGAGACAGAGACAGCCAGACGAAGCTGGGAGAGGAGGGCAGAGACAGGGACAGAAGGTCCGGGCTGAGGGCCCAGGTCGTGGCTGGGATCAGGGCTCAGAGCGCCACAGGAATCAACGCCCATTGTGCTATTAGGATTGGGGTCAGTGTGTGACCAGGGTCAGGGCTCAGAGTGGGACAGGGATCGAGGTTCATCACATTACTGGGATCATGGCTCAGTGTGTGACCAAGATGAGGGTTCAGCTTTGTTTGAGATCAGGGTCAGACCCTTAGTGCGGGGAATCAGAGCATGCTTTGCTAGCTCCCTCTCCTCTCCGGTCTGGCCTCTGGGGTGTCCAGCACATTCTGCCCATCCCCCCAGCTCCAGAGACCGCAGAGCCCCCACATCCCTAGCCAGGACCCCAGCACCGCAGCGTTGCTGGTGAGCCTGCTGGGCTGGCCCTGGGGAGTTTTCTGGGACAGCAGAATTCCCAGGGGCCAGCATCACCCTGGGACTCACTCCCACAGGAAACGTTCTGTGTTGTTTATGATTTGTCTCTGATTGGGACACTAATATAGGCCCCGTGCAGACAAATTGGAAAAGCAAAAGGCACATAGAAAGGAATCCCAAAATACTTTTTTGGCCATGCAGTCCCTCAGTCCAGCTGCAAAGCCGCCTCGACCTTTTCTGAGAGCGTTTCATCCACAGCAGGGGAGGGACGCATCTCTTTCGGGGGGACCTTCTGGGGCTCCTGAAGCCCACAGCCCTGAGACGCCAGGTTCCCAGCCCCCATGTGCCCAGCCTCCTCTCCTCCCCTGGCTGCCTGCTGTGCCCCCAAATCCCGTCTCTGGTGGCACACCTGGGCTGAGGGAGGACAGACCTATTCATCCAACAAATGCACCCATCAATGCCCGCGTGTCAGGGCCTGGAGATAGAGAGCTTGCTTGCAGTCGGGGGGAGCTGGGAGCTGAGCCTGGGCCCTTGTGTGGTGGGGGTGGCAGGAGGGGCTGGGCACAGGCCTGGGCAGCACTTGACTCCTCCCAGCAGCCTCCAGGGTAGCACGCACCCAGGGCTGGGGTCCCAGAGGCAGAGGGCATGCTGGGTGACCTCATGCAGGCACTGACCTCTCTGACTCTGAGGAAGAAGGTGGCCGCCGACTGGAGGGACCTGGCCCTCTGAAAGCAAGAGTTCTTTTGCTGCCCTGAGCCAGGCCAGGGGCTGTTTGAAGGCAGGGCTCATTGTTCCCCAGGGGTGGGATGGGGCCACGCACTGGTCAGAGGGAGTGGCGGGGCACAGCCTGTTTACAGCAGGGGCCACCAGGAGGGGAAGGGGTAAGTGTCCTCCCTTCTCCAGCAGGTGGGGGAGGGGCGCTGTGCAGAAGAAACGGCCCACGAGCCTCCCCACCCTGCTGGCCCCAAAGACTTCTCCTTTCTCCTGAAAAAGCCAGAAATGCCCTTATTTGGAGGGTCAGCCCAGCTGTAGGGTGGGGGTAGGGCCGTTAACCCTTCATTTATAAATAGAGGGATAAATCACTGCCGAGTTAAACACGCCAGGGCAGGAACATAAACAGAGTGGGTGGCTCCGGCACAGCCCCTCGCCCGCCCCCCACCCTGGCCCCCCTGCCCAGGCCAGACGGGAGCTCGGTGTTTATTTGACTCACACTCTGGCTCCAGGCTTCAGCCCCAACCAGCCACCCCACAGGGGCCTCTGTCTCCTTTTCTGTAGTTTGGGGGGATCATAGGGGTGCCCGCCTCTCAGGGCCAGTAGGAGCCTGGGGTGCCCAGTGAGACTGGTCCTTGGCTCCCATGCAGCCCCACTGGACAGCCTAATTCCCTTTGTAAAGGTCCCTCATGAGGACCCCCATCCAGGGCATTGACCTGATGCTGGCCTAGGAGGAGGGGAGAACAGATGGGTGGTCCCGGAGGATGGGGGCCATGACGGTGGGTGTGGGGACAGGGGAGTGGGCAGGGCAGTCAGAGGTCCCCACCATGAACAAGGCTCTGTCCCAGCAGAACTGGGTCATCAGCCACCAACTCTGCTGGCGCTGCCGTGCTGACCCGCTTGCTTAGTCACCCCAGCAGCAACGCGATCCCAGTGACATGGATTAGGAAGCAGGTAGAGAGGTTAAGTGGCCTACCCGAGCAAGCACACTAGTCAGTGGCACAGCTGGGGCTGGAGCCAGGCCCTGGAACTGCACACTGGAGCCCCGTGGTCTTGCCCTTATCAGCTCTCCATCCCGAGGACAGCCCTGCACCGCACGTGTTTCCGCCTCCCCCTCGTGCCAGGACGGTCGCAGAAACCTCCGTATTTTGTCGAGTCTCCACGCTGGCAAGTGCCAGTCCTGGAATTTGAACACGCGTCTGACTCTGAAAGCCTGTGCCTTTTCTGCTGCTGTCCGAGGCTCCCTCTGGGTAGAGCCAAGGGAGCAGGCATTTGAGGCCCCAGCCAGGCGAGGGCATGGAGAAGGGGGATGCTGGGCGTGCAGGGGCAGACGGGCCAGCTGAGTTCTGGGCCTCAGGGCAGGGCTTAAGGCCAGGCTGGCGCCTGGGGTGACCTGGTCTCCTTGCTTCCAGGCCTGGGGTGTGCTGGCTGCCGTCATGCCCTCTGTGTCTCCAGCGGGGCCCTCGGCCGGGGCAGTCCCCAATGCCACCGCAGTGACAACAGTGCGGACCAATGCCAGCGGGCTGGAGGTGCCCCTGTTCCACCTGTTTGCCCGGCTGGACGAGGAGCTGCATGGCACCTTCCCAGGCCTGTGGCTGGCGCTGATGGCGGTGCACGGAGCCATCTTCCTGGCAGGGCTGGTGCTCAACGGGCTGGCGCTGTACGTCTTCTGCTGCCGCACCCGGGCCAAGACACCCTCAGTCATCTACACCATCAACCTGGTGGTGACCGATCTACTGGTAGGGCTGTCCCTGCCCACGCGCTTCGCTGTGTACTACGGCGCCAGGGGCTGCCTGCGCTGTGCCTTCCCGCACGTCCTCGGTTACTTCCTCAACATGCACTGCTCCATCCTCTTCCTCACCTGCATCTGCGTGGACCGCTACCTGGCCATCGTGCGGCCCGAAGGCTCCCGCCGCTGCCGCCAGCCTGCCTGTGCCAGGGCCGTGTGCGCCTTCGTGTGGCTGGCCGCCGGTGCCGTCACCCTGTCGGTGCTGGGCGTGACAGGCAGCCGGCCCTGCTGCCGTGTCTTTGCGCTGACTGTCCTGGAGTTCCTGCTGCCCCTGCTGGTCATCAGCGTGTTTACCGGCCGCATCATGTGTGCACTGTCGCGGCCGGGTCTGCTCCACCAGGGTCGCCAGCGCCGCGTGCGGGCCATGCAGCTCCTGCTCACGGTGCTCATCATCTTTCTCGTCTGCTTCACGCCCTTCCACGCCCGCCAAGTGGCCGTGGCGCTGTGGCCCGACATGCCACACCACACGAGCCTCGTGGTCTACCACGTGGCCGTGACCCTCAGCAGCCTCAACAGCTGCATGGACCCCATCGTCTACTGCTTCGTCACCAGTGGCTTCCAGGCCACCGTCCGAGGCCTCTTCGGCCAGCACGGAGAGCGTGAGCCCAGCAGCGGTGACGTGGTCAGCATGCACAGGAGCTCCAAGGGCTCAGGCCGTCATCACATCCTCAGTGCCGGCCCTCACGCCCTCACCCAGGCCCTGGCTAATGGGCCCGAGGCTTAGTCAGCAGGGCTCTGCCAGGGGCCGAAGGTCAGGACTCATCTGGGCATGCCAGCGTGGACACCCACCATGCCAGGGGTGGCAATCGGTTCCATCTCGATTGATTGGTGATGGCTACCCAGAGCACCGCATTGAGCGTCTAAGGCCACTGTGCTGTGGTTGATTAGCAATGTCTGCCACTGGCTCCGATGGGATGTGGTGGCCTGAATGCCGGTGATTTGCTGTTCCTGGGGTATAGCACGTCCACTGAAAACTCACAGGGGTAGCCGGGAGCTGCTCCTCACTTTGGCCAGTTTGTCTCCAGAAGGAGTTCCTCAGAAAAAAGGGCACAGTGGATTCCATTGATTAGAAGGATGAGATGAAAAAGAAAAAAGAAAAAAGGACAAAGATTATTTAGGTGCTGGGAATTCCCAAGAGAGTTAAGAAACAACCTGAATTCCCGAGAGAGCTAACAACAACAATGCTCCCTCCAACACACACACAGGAGGAAGGACAAGGACAGAAAGAAAAGGCCAGGGAGCATTCGTGTTGCATTAATGGAGGTGGGGGGGGGTGCATGTCTCTGCAAGACCCCCCCACCTGAGGCCTCCGTGAATTGCACGATAAAACGGCAGACACCCACAGGCCGCTCTGCTGTGAGCAAGCACTGTGATATCTAGGTTGACACTTGAACCCACAACAACCCACAAAGGAGACGCTACTTTTCATCCATTTCTTGGTGCTGGAGGGGTCAAGTGACACACACAGGGGCCACAGCTGGGAAATGGCAGGGTCAGAATGAAAACCAGCCCCACCTCCTCCAGTGCCCTTGCACCTCCTTCCACAGAGAGTGCACGATCATCCCAAAGCCCCCACTCTAGGAATGGCCTCAGAATGGCTCACCTGCTGCCCCAGGTAGAGGCAGTGTTCACAGCCCCATCCTATGGATAAGAAAACCAAGAACAAAGTCACGCAGCAGTGAACCCAGGCATGCCGGGTTGTGGCCACCATCTCCCCATGCAAACAGCCATTTTCCTCCCCCCGGGGGCAGAGAGGACGTGACCAGCTGCTCTGGCCCAGCTCACTATGAGTCCCCATGCCTTCACTAGGGAGGGAGCTTTTCTCTGGCTGGGGCCTCTGATCATCTCCTCAGAGCTGGACTCCAGGATTTCCTCCCACGTGCCTTCTGCCGAGCGTCCAAGCTCCCAGCCCTTTCAGGACTGGTAATGGGGAAGGGAGCCTGTGGTGAGGAAGAGGAGTGTGGGGCATCCCTGGCACTTCCGGCTCTGAGGCCCTGCCATCAGACCTGGCCATAGCCACTGAAGCAGGCGAGATGGGCTCAGGTCCTCAGGCCAGGCCTTTGGCTACAGAGAAGTCCTACACACTCAGGGTGACCGTGGCCTGTGTGGCTGGGAGCAGGAGGGGGAGGAGGAGGAAAAGGCCGGGGCTCCCCGATTCAGCTCGAGGCAGAGTCTCCTGACCCCAGTTTAGGGTCCTGGACTTTATATCCCCATGTTACAAATGAAGAAACTGAGGCTCAGAGGGAGAAAGGGGCTTGCCAAGGTCATAGAGTGAGTGCCTGAGTCATCCAAGGCCAGTATTGTCCTCACCAACCCCAGCTGTGGCCATGTGGAGCAGCTGGGGTGGGGGGCACCGGCCCAGAGGAGTCAGAGGCGTGCCCCGCAAGGTGGTGGAACTGGGAGTGCTGCCAGGGTTACTTCCTCCCTGGGTCCGGATGCCCGAGAAGCAGTGGGTATCACCATGGCCGCCAGCATTCTTGATACTTACCAGGCACCAGGCACAATTCTGGAACCTTCCCCCAGCCCCCAGCTCTCGGGTGCTGCTCAGAGAGGGGCCGTGGCTTACCAGGGATGCAGGGTTCCACAAGGCAGAGGGGCCCAGCGTTCAGGAAAGGACGTGGCTGGGGGACAGGGCTGTGCATGCAGAAAAACCCCGCTGACCACAGGTGCAGCATTCACGGCGACTTTCAGGCAAGCAGGCACCAACAGCCAGCGAGCCATCATTCCCAGGGCTGCGAGCTGGCACCCACGTGGTCACATGCCTAGAGCTGAGGAGTGAGGGGTCAGGGCTCAGGTGTCCTGCCCAGCCCAAGCCATGAGCTTCTTCCAGGCTCATGTGGCCCAGCAGTCCCTGAATGGCCTTGCTTACCTGGGACCCCTCCACCCACGCTCACAAGTCATCCAGGGCCAGGGACTCTGGACTCCATTCCTCCAGGAGCTGTGGATCCTCTTGCTCCATCTTAGGGGGCGCCCCAAGCCCCAGAGACTACCTGCCGGCTCCCACTCCCGCCCCTCAAGCAAGCTCTGCACGTGGCCTAGAGTATGACACCCCTCTGCCCTTGGTCCCGCACTGTACTGTGAAGACCTCTCCAGCCCAGGGCTGCAAGGAGGCAGGGGCCAGCGGGAAGGAGTGCTAAGATGAGGGGGAATGGCCTGGGCAAAGGTAAGGCCAAGCGCCCGCCTCGCTGGGGCCAGTGAAGGGCCTTCCATGCAGCTTCCCAGCCCCTCCCCTCCCCTACCAGTCTTCCCGGCCCCTTCCCCGCCAGTCTTCCCTGCCCCTCCTCCACCGGTGTTACGTGCCCCTCGGGCCTTTGGCCTCCCCATCAATGACCCCCAGCCTGGCTCCATTCCTGGTTGTCACTCTAATTCACGCTAAAGAGTGAATGGCTGACACTTGAGGATTGCTGTGCTTGAAGAGGCAGGGCTTGCAATTTTTCTGGAACAATCCCTTTCTTCAGGAGGAGGGGTCTCTAAGGCAGGTGAGCCAGGTCCCCTCCTTGTCCCCACATCTGAAATCCAATCATTCAACTTGGGTTCCTCGGGCCTCAGAGGCTTCTCAGACTGTAAGAGGCCGGGAGGGGAAGGACATCCTGTCCGAAGCGGCAAGTGCGTCCACTACCACTCATGCTGGAGAGGACAGGCCGCCTGTCTTCTGTGGCCAGGGACACAGGCTTGGGGCCCACCCTCAGACCTCTGAGAACTGCCTGCCAGCCCCCGATGCAGAACCCTTGATAGGCAAGCCTCAGTTTCTCCACACCCCACTCCTCTTTCTCCTCTCCTCAGCCTTACAGCTGGAGGGCAGGGGGCTGGGGAAGGGGGTCACCCCAATGCCCTGGACTGGGCCCCACAGCTCCCCCGGCTGCTTGCTTCCTTCTCCTGACGGCCGGCTCCTTCCCACTTCAGCCTCCTCTGTGGGCACCGAGGCCCAGGAGCTTCAAAAGTCAGACCAAGACTGTCCTTGGTCCCACAGGGGCAGAGGTGAGATCTGTGCGTGCCCCCTCTCCACACTCACGGGGACAGGGCGTGAGATCTTTGCGCCCCCTCCCCATGATCTCCCTTTCCAGATTTTCAAAACGCCCAAGTGACGTGAAATGGTGTGTGTATTTATATCCGACGTAAACAATCTCCTTCACGAGATGTCCTCGTCTGGAATTAAAGCTGTTTATTCTATTCTTGCCCACGACTCTGGTCCTGGGCTGGTGGGGGACATGGAGCTGGCGGAGGGTATGGAGCAGGGTGGCAGCCCTACGCACGCCCCAACTCTGTGTCCTGCGGACCAGCAGGGCTCCACAGGGAGGCAGCGGCAGTGGTTTTGTGGTTTTGTCATCCCTGCTGGGAGGCAGATTTAGGGGCCTTGAGCCCTGCCCAGCTCTGATGGGCAGGGGATGGAGGGGGCACAAGTGGCTGACTTGCCAGCAGGGTGTGGGCACAGCAGCTGGGTGGGGGGCATGGACCAGCAGAACAAGGCGCTCCATCCCTGATCCCGAACCTGCCTACCCAGGGCAAGGACGTGGAGGTGGGCGAGGCAGCCAGACCACCCACAGCCACTGAGTCCTATCATATCAGCAGAGATATGGCCTAGAGGGAGAGGGAGGGGATAGGACAGCTGGTCCAACACACCAGGGAGAGGGAGCACTGGCCTCCCTGTGGGCCTACTAAGTGCCACTGAGTGGCCCCTTCACTGAACCTGGGAGGGTGAGATGACCACCTCCATTCCTAGAGGAGAAACTTAGGCTTTGGGGGTGGTCAGGGAGGGGGCTCAAACCAGGGCCCCCAGGTGCCCAGTTCTCGGTCTCTGGTCTGGCCCAGCAGAGCTCTGGGTGGGGAGGCGCTGTCTGGGGGCTCATCACTCCCACAGTCTGGCACCCGCGGCAGCCGGAGGCGTCTGGATGTAAATATTAGGGCCTGTTTAGATTAAAGCTCCATTAATAGCAGGAAATGTCGCCTGGGTGCCTGCCCCAGCTTCCTGGAGGCCTGAAGGCATGGAGCGGGGTGGGGGTGCACTATCTGCGCTGGAGACCCCCACCGTGTGCCCTATTGGAGCTGGACACCCCCTATCTCCACACCCGCACACCCTGCTTGCCACCTGGCTTAGCAGTTCTGACTCCAGCCTCCCTGCCTCTTCACACACAGCCCCTCCTCTCTCCTTCAGGGCCTCTGCAGCCCAGCGCTCTGTGCTCCCCACCCCTCACGGGATGAGAGGGGACCCACGTGGCCACATCCGCCCACCCTCCAGAGCTGGGCCCCCACCCGAAGGGGTCTGTGCACCCAATTCACAGCGGAGAAAACTGAGGCTTAGAGACATCATGGGACCAACCCAGCGTTCCCAGGCGCCACCTCAAAAAGGAGCTGGAATTCCCCTCCCAGCCCTGCCTGACTCCAGGGTCAAGGCCACCCCCTACATCCTGACCCCCCACCAGAAAGCTGTGGGCCAGGGAGAGGGGGCAGTCAAGCTCAGCGTCTGCAGAACGTCTCTGGCTGTGGAGGGGCGGGCCCAGGTGCAGGAGGGAGTGGAGGGGTGAGTAGGAAAGGTGGGAGGAGATAGAGGGGCCGAGGGGAGGGGCTGCGGCTGGAGGGCCAGGACAGGCCTGGGGAAGTGGCTCCGCCCATGAGACCACACTCTCCTGCTCCCAGTCCTGTCCCCTGCCATTCCCTCCCCCTGGATGGTCCCTCACCCCATCTCCTCGGACCACCTGCTCCATGACTCCTGGCCCCCGCCCCACTGGCCCAGCAGCCTGTGCCCAGCCCCAGCCAGGGCCTTCCGCTTGTCAAGTCCCACCCCCTCCTCTGCCCCTACTCTTCCTGGGGCTGCCTCTTGAAACTGATTCCTCCCCACCCCCACCCCAGGACAGGCCACAAGGCCCAGCCTCACCCTCCAGACTGGACCCTGCCCCACCTTTCCTCGGCCTCACTGAGCCCTCAAGGACTCAGCACGGATGACCCCTTCACCATCCCTCGGCTAGTTCTGGGCCTCCAGGTGTGTCTACCTAACTCTCCCCTGCAGCACCTCTCCAGAACTCAGCTGGAGCTGAGGCCAGGCCCCCTGCAGAGCCCTGGGGAGTCCTGTGCTCTCGTGGCTCAGCTGCAGGGGTGCTCAGATCCTACCCCCACGTGGCCAGCCCCAGGGAGAACAGTCACGTGTTGGGCACAGGACGGGGTCACCCAGGAGGGCTCCAATGAGGAAGAGGTGCTCGACGTCATTCCCTCCTGGTCCTCTCTTTGCCCACCTGGGCCAGGAGGGACTTCTTCCAGATGACTCCCAGCTGGGCCTCTCCTGGAGGGTGTGGTGCTGGGAGCGCCAAGTGCCGCGCAGACCTGGACAGGCTGGCAGGGCCAGGGGTGTCGCACCCCCGTTTTACAGATGAGCTCACCTGCTGCAACCACACACCCTCCTGCCTAGTCCAGCTCGGCCCCTGATTCGCTGATTCCAGGTCACCTCTGAGCCTGGGCTTTGCCCCTGTAGGTGGGAGCCTAACACCAAACCGCAGGTGCCCCTCACACCCGCCCAAGGGAGGCAGCGGAGGCCTGGCTGCTCAGGGGTCCCCCGAGACCTCAGCCATGTCCCTGCCCCTCTCTGGGCCTCAGTTTCCCCATCTGTAATCCAGAGCTTAGAACAAATGGTTCCCTAGCCCTGGTGTGCGAGGCACCCACCCAGTGCCTCTGGGCCCTGCCCACCTCCTCTGCTGCCCCGGCCCTCAGCACAGCCTCTGCCTATCACGCCTGCATGGGGACGCCCTCACAAGTTGACGCCAAGGGCTGACGTGGGAAAAGCTCTTGTGTTTATAAGCCAGCCCCAGGCTCTGAGTCTGTCCTTCTCCTACAGCCCCCCAGCTTCCCAGGGCACCAGCGTGGGAGTCCTGGACAGAGAGGGGAACTCGCCCGGCACCACAACCCAGGGAGGCCTCGGGACACTCTGCTGAGATGGAGTGGGGGTGGGGCATGAACCTGGGGGGAGGAGTGGGCCAGGTGGGCTGTCACTTGTCCTGCACTGGAACATCAGGGACCCGGGTGCCTCCCTGGCGTGTCACAGCATCGAGGGGCCCCTGGGTGTCCAGCGTGCTGTCTGACCACCCGGTGAGAGCTGCCCTTCGGACTACCACTTGACCCCAAGGGCCAGTCGGGAAATGCCACATCATCTATGTGCTCACTATTTCAATGACATTATAGCATCACTGGGTTTTGGGAATCCTCGGTGTTTTACATAATGGGAGTCCACAGGCATCTTCAGCCACCAAGAGTTCCTGGGGGAACAGGCACTGACCATCTGAACCTGGTGTGCCTGGGTGGGGCTCCCAGGGGACTGGGAGGGCTGGGGCCACCACTCTCCTGGTACCTGCCCTACTGTCCATGAGAGGCTCATCCCCTCCCAAATGCATTGCACATTTTACAAACTATTCTGCTTGGAAACTCAGCAAATGAGCTACCTGTGGGGGAAGGGGGCAGCACGGGGGCCCAACACCCATCAGACTTCACATCGGGGCCAGCCTGGGGGCTGAAGGACATCGGATCCCCTGTGTACTGCAGGCATCCAGGCGGTACCAGTGGCCTGGGGTCAGGGTCCTCCACTCACCCCCACGGGTGCCCCTCTTAGTGGCCTGGTGGGGGTGCAGGGTTGAGGTCCAGGAGTCTGAATCCCCCACCTCAACCATCCTCTCCAGAACAAAGCTATGGAAGGGTTTTGGGGAGCTCCCAGAACCCTAACTCGGGAGATCACAGAGAGGCTGCCACAGCCCAACCCAGAGCAGGCCCTCCAGAATACAGCCCAGGTAACAGGATGGCCCAGCCGCCAGGCCCCTGTATCACACTAGCCCCTCAGCAAGTTACGTGTCTTTCCTAAGCCTCAGTTTCCTCCTCTGTCAAGGGGAGATTGCGGAC
Organism: Homo sapiens; assembly: GCF_000001405.40. Lineage (NCBI taxonomy): Eukaryota > Metazoa > Chordata > Mammalia > Primates > Hominidae > Homo > Homo sapiens. Next base: position 16,249 of record NW_025791786.1, on the reverse strand, counting down.
ACCCTCTGCCTTAAGGCAAGGTTGCGAGAATTAAGTGAGTGTGTGTGGATCTGTGTGTAGGCACATGTTATGCATGCCTGCGTGTCTGTGTGTCTACATGTACGCAGGCATTCATGTGTACATGCAGGAATGTGTGTGTGTGTGTGTGTGTGTGTGTGTGTGTGTGTCTCAGTCTACTTTCTGTTGCTATAACCACATGTGCAGAACACCACAAACTGGCTAATTCCTAATGACTAGGAATTAATTGGCTCAACAAATTCTGGAGGCTGGGAAGTCCAAGATGGAGGGGCCCCATGTGGTGAAGGCGAGACAGATAGAGAGACAGACAGAGACAGAGAGTGTGCCAAACTTGTCCTTTCCCAAGGAACCCACTCCCAGGATGATGAACCATTCCCTGCTTTTACCTTTTGTTGCTTTGGGGGAAAAAGAACCATTCCTGAGATAACGTATTAATCCATTCATGAGGGTGGTGCCCGCATGACTCAAACACCTCCCAGTGGCCCCTCATCCCAACACTGTCACACTGGTGATCGAGTTTCTGACATGTGAACCTAGGGGCACCCGTGCAAACTGCAGCAGTGTGCATGTGTGAGTGTGTGTGTCCATGTACCTATGTACAGTCATGCGTCACTCACTGACAAGACACATTCTGAGAAATGCATCATTAGACCATTTCCTCATTAGGGGACCGTCACAGACTGTCCTTACACAAACCCAGATGGAATGGCCTCCAGCACCCCTCGGCTCTACACCGTAGCCTTTGCTCCTAGGCTGCAAACCTGTACCGCGTGTTACTGTACTGAGTCCTGTGGGCGACTGTAACACGGTGATAAGTATGTGTGCAACTAAACAAATCCACACATAGAAAAGGTAACGCACTGTGCCACAGTGTTACGATGGCTGGGACATCACTGGGCAACAGCCATTTTTCAGCTATTTGGAATCTGACAGGACCACTGTCATATACGCAGCCCATCACTGACTGAAACGATGTTATGTGGAGCATGGTTGTATATGTGTCTGCGTATCTGTGTGTATGTACGTGTATATGTATGCGAGTCTGTGTGTACATTGTGTATGTATGTGCATGTGTATGTATGTGTATATGCATGTGAGTCTGTGTGTGTGTTTGTGAGTCTGTGTATGTATTGTATATGTGATGTGTGTATGTGCGTGTGTGTACGTACGTGTGTGTACGTGAGTCGCTGTGTGTGTCTGTGTATGCACGTGTGTGTATGTTTGTGTTTGTATGTATACGTACATGTGTGTATGTGTGTATGTGAGTCTGTATATGTGTGTGTACATGTATTTACATTTGTGAGTGTGTGTATGTACCTATGTATATGTATATGTGCATGAGTCTGTGTGTACATGAGTCTGTGTGTGTGTGTGAGTCTGTGTGTGTCTGTGTGTGTCTGTGTGTGTGTCTGTGTGTGTATGTGAATCTGTGTGTGTCTATGTGTATGTGAGTCTGTATGTGTGTGTATGAGTGTGTGTGTATGTGAGTCTGTGTGTGTATTTGAGTCTGTGTGTGTCTGTGTGTATGTGAGTCTCTGTGTATGTGAGTCTGTGTATATGTGAGTCTGTATGTGTGTGTGTCTGTGTGTATGTAAGTCTGTGTGTGTCTGTGTATGTGAGTGTGTGTGTGTATGTGAGTCTGTGTGTGTATGTATATGTGTGTGTATGTGAGTCTGTGTGTGTGTGTGAGTCTGTGTGTGTCTGTGTGTGTGTGTCTGTGTGTGTATGTGAATCTGTGTGTGTCTATGTGTATGTGAGTCTGTATGTGTGTGTATGAGTGTGTGTGTATGTGAGTCTGTGTGTGTATTTGAGTCTGTGTGTGTCTGTGAGTATGTGAGTCTGTGTATTTGAGTGTGTGTGTGTCTGTGTGTATGTGAGTCTCTGTGTATGTGAGTCTGTGTATATGTGAGTCTGTATGTGTGTGTGTGTCTGTGTGTATGTAAGTCTGTGTGTGTCTGTGTATGTGAGTCTGTGTGTGTGTGTATGTGAGTCTGTATGTGTGTGTATGTATGTGTATGTGTGTGTGTATGTGAGTCTGTGTGTGTATGTGAGTCTGTATGTGTGTGTATGTGAGTATGTGTATGTGTGTGTGTATGTGAACCCTGTCTCTTCTTTTGGTGTGTGTGTGTGTGTGTGTGTGTGTGTCCTCCCATGGTGTTTGGCACTCAATCAGTGATTGAACTGAGCTAATGAAAGGAGCAGGGCTGTCCTCTGGACAGTCCCCAGCACGTTCATTCATTAATTCAATCAACAGTTTATCTACCCACCCTGTGCCAGGTATAACTGAGGGTCTCACTCCCAACAAAACGTCTGCCTCCCCATACACACACTTACATCCATGCACCATGATCACAGTGGCCGACCCCTCCAATGGGGCTCATTCCCCTGGGGCCAACCCTATTTTCTCTGGGCTTTCCCTGGAACTTGCACACACATAGGGGTGGGCAGAGCTAAGGGGGCACATTCTGGGCCCCAGCCCAGCCTGGGCGAGCCCCTCCAGCTGGCCCCAGCCCCTCCACTGATCCGCTGGGAATGCCGGCAGGATTGAAGTGCCTGGGGCATATGACCACCAGGTGGCGCTGCTGGCCTGGGAGCTGCTGCAGAGGCACCAGGACCCTCCGACCTTCCTCTGCCGCCTGTCTCTCCAGGCGTCGTCCCCAGAGCTGAGCAATCCTGGAAGAATGCTCAGAGGATCTGTGACTTCCTGACCGGCCTGGGAGAGGTTCTCAGACTGGACCTCGTTCCAGACTGCCCCTCCCTCTAGGTCTCTTTCCCCACCTAGGGGAGGGCTTGTGCTCAGGGGTCACAGCCTCGAGAGAATGTCTGCACTCCTCCTTACCTGAGTGGCCTTGCAGGTTCCTTTGCCTTCCCAACTTGGGGACAAGTGAGGGCGTCTTCACTGTGTGCCTGCCCCATGCCAGCCTTGCAGATGGAGTGCAGATGGAGTCGGGTACAAGTGCCCTCCACCCTCCACCCTCCACCCTCCACGCACAGGCAGGCTAGCTCCTCCCTCCTCTGTATACCCGGACAGGAGGGGTTCTTATAATGCCCTCCTCCCAAGCAGAAGGAGGCTGAGGCTCAGCGAAGTGAGCCCTCACTCTGCCCGGGGCACACAGCTCGGGGCAGAGCCCACTCCTCACCTTCGCCTTCTCTCCAGGTCCCGAGGTGGTGTGCTGCCTTGCAGAGCGAAACTGTTTTCCCTGTTGTAGAGATGGGTGGGGAGCATGCAGGGAGACAGAAAATGCCCTGTCTGGAGTCACCCCAGCGAAGAGCAGTGGGGCTGGGGCTGGGCAGCTGTGTAGGGGTCAGGGGGCAGCTGGGGAGCTGCCTCTCCTTCTGGATGACAGGCTGCACTTGCACTTGTCGGGGGAGCCAAGAGCCCCCACGGCCATCCATGGTCCTCAGGTTAAAAACCTCATTCATCACCTGTGAGCCCAGAGAGGTCAGAGCCCCCCACCCCGAGTCACACAGCCTGGCAGCCGAGACCGCTGTGTGGGCAGGAGTGAGAAACCAGCCTGAGGGCTCAGATGTCCTGACAGGCAGTCCTGAGCATTGCCAACCAGATCACTGGCACCTGCCCCAAAGCCGGTGGCAAGGGAGAGAGTGCTTGGGTGTGTGTCACTCGGCGGTCTCTGGCCCCTTGGGTCAGGCAGAGGGGACAGGCCCCACCTGTAGGGACAGAGGGAGACAGTGACAGTGTCCAGTAGACCCTGGCCCGACAGCTGGGCCACGCCCCTGCCTGTGTATCCATCTGCCCCACTGTGGTTCAGCTGAGGGTGGACTGGCCTGGCAGGTGGGCACAAGGCCCGGGCCCCAGATTCCTGGAGAGGTCGGTGGGAACTCCTGTCAGGGGGCCCCAGGGAGCGGGCAGTGTGGCCACTGGGCCCTGACACCCTCTGGGGAGCCAAGGCAGGGCCAGGCCAGGGGTCTTTCCAGCCCACTCCCGCTCCCGGGCTCCGAGTCGCCTGCCAGCTGTCTCACTTCCTTCCTGTCCACTGGCCCGCAGGCCACCTGCTGCCACCTTCTCCAGCACTTGCTCTGCCTCACCCATAGGCCTTTGCTGGACTGCGGGAGGCCGGAAAGATGGAAACAACTCCAGAACCCCAGAACCTTGATTCTTTTTGTTTGTTTTTAGTTTTGAGGCAGGGTCTTGCTCTGTCGCCCAGGCTGGAGTGCAGTGGTGCAATCACAGCTCACTGCAGCCTTGACCTCCTGGGCTCAAGCGACAGCCACCCTCACCCCAATGCCCACAGTAGCTGGGACTACAGGCACATGGAACCATAGTCAGATCTTTTTTTTTTTTTTTTTTTTTTTTTTTACTTTTAGTAGAAATGGGGTCTCAACATGTTGCCCAGGCTGGTCTCCAATTCCTGGGTTCAAGGGATCCTCCTGCCTCAGCCTCCTAAAGTGCTATAATTATAGGCATGAGCCACTGTGCCTGGCTGATTCTTTAAACCAGGATTTGAAATCCTTTCTTCATATCTTGTCCCTGCAATAGCTAATAGTTCTAGAACCTTCTATCCATTCACTTCCCTCTTCCCCTGTGGCATGACCCCCACAAGTCTCTCACAGAGGAAGCCTCAGGCCACAGTGCTTACCAACGACCCCTCTAAGGGGACAAGTTGGGGGCCAGCCTGAGGGAAGGGGCTCCCACTGTGTCTGTGTGGGAGCCCTTGGGAGACGATGCTGGCCCAGCAGGGTGGGTTCTGGGCCTGTGGGGGAAGGTGGAGATGCCACACCTGAGAGCCAGCCCAGGGGTCCGTGGGGCCACAGGTGCAGGGGAAGGTGGACAGGACGAGTGGTCAGATACACTGCCCACCCCTAGGGCCTACCTGAGCCCATGCTAGGTACGTAGTGGGGCTGTGTTTGCGGGGCTGGGACCAAATCCCAGGTCCAGCCCTTGACTGTTGTGTGACCTTGGAGCAGGTGAGTTCACCTCTGTAAGCCTGTTTGCTCCTTAGTAAAACAGCCATACTCACGCTAAATTCTTGGGTGGTTGAGATGAAATTGTGGGAAAGGGACAAGGCATTCAACTTAGCACCACACACAGCCCATCTATCATTCAGCAAGCATTTATTGAGCACCTACTATAAGCCTTGGCATGGAATCAGGATGAATGAGGGACAATCCCTGCCCTCAAGGAGCCCGCAGCTGCAATCCCGGGCAGTGAGGGCCTGTCGGAAATGTAAGCTGGGCTCAACTGCCTGCTAGAGAGGTGGGGAAGGCTTTCCGGAGGAAGTGACATTTAGCTGGGTTTTGAAGGATGCGTAGGAGTTTGCATCTGGAAGGGCATCTGCTGCAGCAGGAACTGTCGGGGCAGAAGTGGAGATGCGGCTGTGTAGTGGAAGCACAGAGGCACAGGGGTCACAGGGCCTGGCCGGCTGGCAGAGGAACCTCAGGAAGGTCACCTCCCCTCTCTGGGCCGCAGTTTCCCTGTCTCTAAATGAGGATAAGCGCGCCCGCCTCCCAAATGGGACAGTGGCTGTGGCAAGCGCGGGGTGAATGCTAATGTTCCCTATTTAATTTTCCATGTTCTGTTTTGAGGCCAGTCAGGGTTATTTCTGTCCACACTCAACTATTTCCAGGCCCAGAGTCCTCCTTTCCCACAGAGGACAGCGCTGGGCCTGCCCCAGCCCACTATCTACTCCCAGGCCGTGGTGGGAGGCCAAGGGCAGGGGGCACCTGGAGAAGAAATGCAGACTCAGGATGGATCAGAGGCAGGGTGGGGACCCAGCCACCCCAGGAAGCCCAGGGCTCCAAGGGCCCCGTTTGGTGTGCCCAAGGCCGAGCAGCCCAGTTCCAAGCCCCTTTTCCAGGTGAGGTGGGACGGAGGCTCCCATGTAGTCAGGGGAAGAGAGCAGAAGCATTTACCACACCCCCCAGGACTGCCCCGCTGCTGCCCGGCCTGCCCAGGCGAGGAATCTCCCCATCCCCACAGCCACAGCCTGGTGTGCCCCACCCGGCCTCCTCCCTGTTCTCTCAGCTTCCCGGTTCCCACCATCACCCCCATTCTGGCCCAAGGGGCTGACCCTGGGGTGTGACATCAGGGAAGACAAGAGGTGGGGTTAGGGCGCTGCCTGACCTCCTACAAAACAAGCTGCCTTCCTGGTAGCCCTGGGCAGCTGGCCCAGGGATGGCCCATGGGGGCCCCGCCCTCCAGCCAGGTTACCTGCTGCTGGCCAAGAAGCTGGGGTGCTCTGGGCTGCCTCCCTGTCCCTTCTGCAAAGCCCCTGATCCCCACAACCTCTCTCCCACCCTGAGAGCCTGCCGGGGGTTCCTTCCTGGCCATCCCTGGGCTCAGCCTCCTTGTCGTGGGGCACAGGATTGGGTGGCAGGAAAGAACAGGGGGGGCTGGGGCTGGGGCACAAGGGGGGCAGGGAAGAGACACAGAGTGGAAGGTGGGGAGGGACAGGCACAGCTGGAGACGACAGTGTGTGGGGGCTCCGGGCAAACACATCTCACCTCCAGCCCGTTCTGAGCAATCCATCAGTGTGGCTGCCCCTGGAACGTGCGGGGGCACCAAGGCGGAGTTGCAGAGGCTGTTACTGATATGTGTCGTGGGGTGAGTCGGGGTGGGGGACGCATATCCCCACTCAGAACTCTGCATCGTAGATCCCATGCGTCTTGACACCTTCGTCTGCTAACATCTAGAAACCTTAGCATTTGAGAACCTTCAGATCCAAGGGTTCTGAGAGCTTAGAATTGTAGGATTTGTGAATTCTAGAAACAAAGGCAAGAAGATCACCCGTAGGGTGTCTCCTCTGCTCATGCAGCCTGGAGGGACCTCTCGGTGATCCCCGGCCGACCCCTCCCCAGCACTCAGCCCAAGAACCAGCCTCAACCACCTCCCTTCCCAGCTCAGCCTCACCTGCTGCCCAACCTGCAATACCTCCTCCCATCTCCCATCCTCAGACAGCCCATCCCTCCTGCAAGGTCCAGTCCGAAGTCGTCACCTCCCCCAGGAGGCCCACCCGTCCTCCTCAGCCCAGCCTGACTCTCAGGATCAGGCTCACCCTGCGGAGGCTGAAGCCACCAAGTCATAGTCCCAGTCCCAAGGGGAAGACAGGCCTGGAGCAGGGAGAGGTGTGGGCAAGAACACAGCCTCCGTCCCACAAAGAGGAGTTCAAACCCCCGCTCCAGCCCAAATGGCCCGGGCAGTGCCCTCACTCGTCTGCTTCAGCAGCCTCACCCGACTACTCACGATGGCTGCAGGTGGAAACTGCCCACGCATCTCTCAGCAGCTGAAAGGATGACTCCACAGTGGACGATTACTCAGGTGTAAAAAGGAGCAAAGCACTGGCACATGCGATAATGCGGAGGGACCTGAAGCCACCGTGCTAAGTGAAAGAAGCCAGACACGAAAGGCCACATGGTGCTCACACCTCCAGAGATGTCCAGAACAGGCAAAGCCAGAGACAGAGCACAGACGTGCTAGCCAGGGCTGGCTTCCTTGGAGGCTCCCAAGGAGAATCTGTTTCCCTGCCTTTCCAGCCCCTGGGGGCCCCCCTGGACTCCATGGCTATGGCGGCGGGTGCCAAGGCCCTGCAGCAGGGCACGACCACCAGGACCCATTGGGAATTGGCATCTGACTCCCTTCCACCACCCCGGGTGCCCCCACTTAGGAAGAGCCGACTCTCAGCAACTGTGCCCAGAGTGGCCTGGCCCATCAACCATGTGCCCCCTCAGCCTTCCTGCAGCCATTCAGAGACAGCAGTAAACACTCCTCCATCCCAGTGTGTGGGCCCAAAGCTGAGATCCCAGCCCAGGTCTCCCAGCTCACAGCCCTGCCCAGGGCCATCCTCCTGCTAGACGTCACCACATCAATGAGCATCTACCCCGTGCAAGGAAGAGGCCGGCGATGGGGTCCAGGTGAGGGGACAGCCAAGCCCACCAGGCGGTGGCCTTCCCTCACCTGCCCATTCTGGGCTAGGTCAGCTCTACCTGGAGCCTGAGCCCAGGCCCCTCCAGTGCCCTCTGCTGACTGCAGCAGACTGACCACCCTGGAGACCCTCCTGCCCCTGCCCCGAGACCCTCCATGCCACCCTGCCTCCAACCTCTGTCTTCTGCCCCCATTGCCCCTTCATGGTCCTGCAGGCCGCCCATGCTCTGTAAATCCAGCCCACCTGGGCACCCCGTGAGACCTCGGACCCGTCACATCCTGGTCCCTCCTCTTCCCCCACCCCCACATCCGACTGGCACTCCCTTTGGGCAGCTCCATCCGGTGGTGTCCTCTCTGAGTCCCAGGGCCTGCATCGGGTGGTGTCCTCTCTGAGTCCCAGGGCCTGGCACTCAGCAGGCCCTGGGGACATCAACCAGGGGCCCTTGAAGCTGTGTCCCTGGACACAGTTTCCCTGCCCCAAGCCCTGGCACATTCGGCCCAGGCTTGGCAAAAACTCCTTGTCCTCCAAGGACTCGGCTGCACCAGCCACTCAAATAAATTGATGTTCCCATCTCTGCTGACTCATGGATGAGAACATCGGGGCTCCTGCCAATGGCCACACACACCCCCAGCCCCACCAGGGAATAGCCCTGCACCCTGCAGGGACAATGTCATGAGCCTGAGAAGCCACCAGCTTCCCCTACTCCGTGAGCACCAAACTCCAGCCTGCTTGAGCTGTTGGGGGCCCCCTGCCTTGGCACTGTTCCTAATAGAGCCTGGGATCTTGTTTGAGCCCTACAAGGAAGCAAGGACCCCAGGCATCATCTTACAAACAAGGAAACTGAGGCTTGGGGAGGGGAGGAGCTTGTGGGTCCAAGTTCCCTGCCGGCTGTAACACTGTAGGAGTCAGAACCTGGCCAATGCCTGGAGGGGGCTTCCTTGGCCAGGGCTGAGCCTCAGGCTGCCCCCACCCCATCTCTCCCCCACTCCCATTGCATATGGAAACCAGAAAATCAATCCTAAGACCCCCAGCCAAACGAACGGACCCTCGTCTTGGCTAAGGACATTCCAAAGTGAACCTGAAAAGCGAGTTCAGGCCACGGTGGGAAGCGGGAGACGGACATACCTTGTTATCCCCCCTCCCTTTTGGAATGACTGGCAGAACAGTCTTTCAGTCTGATAATAAACATCTCCCATCCATTCTCTCTGCAGTCTGCTGCCTGGAGGCTTCATCTGCATGATGAAACCTCGGTCTGCACAACCCATTATCTTAACCCAGACATTCCTATCTACCGACAATAACTCTTTCAACCAACGGCCAATCAGAAAATCTTCGAATCCACCTATGACCTGGAAGCATCCCCGCTTCCGGTGGTTCCGCCTTTCTAGGCGTAACCAATGTACAGCTTATGTGTATTGATTGATGCCTTGTGTCCCCCTAAAATGTATGAAACCTAGCTGTGGCCCGACCACCTTGAACACATGGTCTGAGGGTCTCCTGGGGCTGTCATGGGCCCCCGGCCATTCATCTTTGGCTCAGAATAAATGTCTCAAACACTTTACGGAGTTTGACTTTTTGTTGATATATACGTCCAGGGAGGCCTCACTGCAGACTTACTGGGCCGCAGGGGCCTCAAGGACCAATATGGCCCCTCCTCTTGGAACAGACGGCCCCAAGCCAAGAGGACTTGGGGACCCTGTGGCCCAAACGGGTCATTTCACAGAATGGGAGACGGAGGCCCACACGGGGAATGGAGGAGAGCGAGGTGGAGCAAGGCCCTTCCCAGCCCTGGGCGGCCCCTTGACCCTTTTGTTCCCCCTCGCTGCCAGGCCTGTGACTGGGTGGGCCTGGGTCTGCAGCCCTACGGGGACTGGAGGGACAGCTGAGTGAGCAGAAGGTGCCTTGTGGCCAAGGCACAGAGGCGTCAGGGCCCAGCTGTGTTCAGCAGGAAGAAGGTCTGTGAGTGGAATATGGGGGTGCAGCGGGGTGGGGGGCGGCCAGCCTGCAGCTCAGATGCTGCGCTGGGGCTCCGGCCGTGACCACGCTCAGCCTCTGTGTCCTCCCCGGTAAAGTGGGAGGAATCGCCTTCCACACAGGACTCGGGGCTGGGTGAGGGCTGGGCGGCCACCACCACCTGCCCTGGGGCAGCAGGAGCTGCAAAGCCAGGCTCAAGGCCTGGGGGAAGGAACCCGGCGCTGGGTGCCCAGAGTCCAGATGAGATGGGTTTGGGGGGAAGGAACCCGGTGCTGGGCGCCCAGGGCCCACATGAGTTGGGTGTCGGAGGAAGGCAACCCCACCCAGGCCACCCCAGCCAGGGCTCAGGGACTTTGCCCACATGTTACCCTCTGGATCTTTCGGAACATTCTGCTGAATAAAAACTGGATTTAAAAAAGAGGCCAGGCACGGTGGCTCATGCTTGTAATCCTAGCACTTTGGGAGGCCAAGGTGGGCAGATCACTTGAGGTCAGGAGTTCAAGACCAGCCTGACCAACATGGTGAAAACATGTCTTTACTAAAAATACAAAAATTAGCCAGGTGTGGTGGCACATGCGTGTAATTCCAGCTACTTGGGAGGCTGAGGCAGGAGAATCACTTGAAATCTGGAGGCAGAGGTTGCAGTGAGCTGAGATTGCGCCACTGCACTCCAGCTTGGGCAACAGAGTGAGACTCCATCTCAAAAAATAATGAAAAATAAAAAAGGTATATTCTATGAAACTCTATTTGGGGTGTGATCTCGTTTTTAACAAGTATTTAAGAAGTAGGCTGGTGCAAGGTGTTTCTAAATGCTTCACAGTGTTATCTCTAGCAAACATTTCATCTGACGGTCTTTTGAATGAGGAGCTCCTGAACGTTCGGCAGAGGAGGTGGAACAGAAGAGAGAGGGCAGGCAGGGGCGTCTCCCTTCTTATCAAGGTATGACTAAGGGCACAACCTTATTTCCAAACAGAACAGTGGACAAACCGGGAAAGGGAGAGTCTGGAGAGATGAAGCGATACTATTAGTGCGGCTGACATGTCAATCACGGGGCTGGCACCGTTCACAGCTCTGAGGCTGCTGGATCTTTCCTGCCTCTCACCTCTGCTCTGCTCAGGCAAGCCTAGCCAGGCAGGGACTGGAGTTGGGGGCTGTTTTCCAGTTCACAGAGGAAGTCACAAGGCCCTAGGACACTCAGGGCCTTGGGAAAGCCAGCCAAGGACCAGAACAGATGTTTCGGCCTGACAGCACCTACTCTTGGGTTAAGCATCACCCTCGGTTTGAAAAATAGAAGTGAGGCCAGGAGTGGCTCACACCTGTAACCCCAGCACTTTGGGAAGCCAAGGCGGGCAGATCACTTGAGGTCAGGAGTTCAAGACCAGCCTGGCCAACATAGTGAAACCCTGTCTCTACTAAAAATACAAAAATTAGCCGGGCGTGGTGGCCGGCACCTGTAATCCCAGCTATTTGGGAGGCTGAGGCTGGAGAATTGCTTGAACCCAGGAGGCAGAGGTTGCAGTGGGCTGAGATTGCACCACTGCACTCCAGCCTGGGCGACAGAGCAAGACCCTGTCTCGATAAATAAATAAATAAAATTTTAAAAATAATAAAAAAAAAACAGGCTAGGCACGGTGGCTCATGCCTGTAATTCTAGCACTTTGGGAGGCCACGGTGGGCGGATCACTCAAGGTCAGGAGTTCAAAACCAGCCTGGCCAACATGGTGAAACCCTGTCTCTACTAAAAATACAAAAAATTAGCTGGGCGTGGAGGCGCACACCTGTAGTCCCAGCTACTCAGGAGGCTGAGGCAGGAGAATCTCTTGAACCTGGGAGGTGGAGGTTGCAGTGAGCTGAGATCGTGCCACTGCACTCCAGCCTGGGTGACACAGCGAGATCCCATCTTAAATAATAATAACAATAATAAAACAGAAGTGGGTAGGGCACGGTGGTTGACACATGTAATCCCAGTGCTTTGGGAGGCTGAGGCAGGCAGATCACTTGAGCCCAGGAGTTCAAGATTAGCCTGAGAAACATAGTGAGACCCCGTCTCTACAAAAATAAGTAAATAAATTAGCCAGGCATAGTGGTGCCCACCCATAGACCCAGCTACTCAGGGGCCTGAGGCGGGACGATTGCTTGAGCCTAGGAGTTCAAGACCAACCTGGGCAACATAGGAGACTTTGTCTCTATAAATAATTTTTAAAAATTAGCCAGGCCTAGTGGTACACCCCTGTAGTACCAGCTACTCAGCAGGCTGAGGCGGGAGGATTGCTGGAGCCCAGGATGTTGAGGCAGCAGTGAGCTGTGATCATGCCACCGCACTCCAGCCTGGGCAACAGAGCAAGATCCTGTCTCTAAAAAGAAAAAAAAAGAAGTATTCGTAGGAGGATCACAGAAGACCCCCAACACCCTGGTGATGTCACCCTGAAGTCCAGGAGAGCCGAGGCTGAAGTCTCGAGGGGAAGGACCCGGCCTCGATTGGGCCGCAGCCTCGGCGCTGGAGCCAGGTCTAAGACACTGCTCTCTATCACGCTGGGTTCCCCCTGCGGTGCTGCACGGCGTGGGCTGGGCACCCCCTCTGGGATCAGTTTGCTCCCTGCAGGATGACAGGGTGGGCAGGGACATGTATGGGACTCACCACCCACAGCAGGGACCCAGGTCCTTCCCCGTCTGGCTGGGGTCAGCCTGGGAGGGGCAGGGTTCCGCCTGCCTGATGCATTGCCTCCTGCTCACCACCCCCAAGCAACACTCCGGTCACTTCTTACTTCCATACCAGGTCTTCGCACTTGCTATTCCCTCTGTTTCCCATGCCTTTCCTCAGGAGAGCTCCTATGCCTCCCACACACAGCTGGGCCGCCGTGTGGTCTGGGAAGCTGTCTCTGAGCAGAGGCAGCCACTGTGCCCCAAGCCCCGTGGGCCCTCGTCCTCACCTCCATTCAGCTGTGGCCCTGCTGGATCGTCACCATCCAAGTTGATACTCTCTCCCAGGGCCCCGTGAGCCCCATCAGTGCAGGGAGTCCATCTGCTCTCTCCCGACTCCCTGCTGCACCTGGTCCAGGGTTCCCCACAGAGGAGCTACTCCATGAAGGCTCAGGGACCAAATGTGGAAGTCCCAAACATGGGCTCCAGGGAGGAGGAGAGACAGGCAGGGCCATGCGGTCAGATAGGGACAGTGAGGAAACCATTGACACGTTGATCTGTGTCACCCACATAGGAACCCTGGGGAGATGCCAGTCTCTTCTTCCCAAGCTATGGGAAGGGGAAACTGAGGCTCAGAGACACAAGAAACCTGCTGGGTTTCAGGAGTCTAACCCACCAAGGACCCCAGGATGCCTCACACCCTCCCCAACCCCACTTCCCAGCACCAGGTTGAAGACAAACTGGACTCACACCCTGGTCAAGGACTACCACCACCCGCCGCTGCCCACGTGCAGCCTCCGGTCTTCCTGCCTGGAAGCGGGCATGAGTGTGCATGTGTGCATGTCCACACAGGCATCTGCTGCACACCCACCGGCTTCCTGATCCCCTAAACAATCTGTCAGCTGTGACTGCCCATGTCCTGGCCCAGGTGCGTGCAGAAGGGTGGGATTAGGGAGGGAGCCCCGAGGGTCTGCAGGGGAGGCCGGGTCCGGGTCAGGGACACAACCAACGTGGCTGATGGGGTGGAGACGGCTCAGGCTTTGAGCAAGGACTTGGAATGTAATCCTGTGTCCAGATCCTTGTCAACAGGAGGCTTAAAACATGGGTGAAAGGATGGCACTCAAGAAAGACTGACCTGCCCCTCCAGGGCCCAGGTAGGGCACACCTGTGGGGTCAAAGCTCTGGCTTCTGGTCCAGCAAGATCCAGCTGAAGATGGTCACTAAGAGGCCTAACTTCAGAGAGCACCCTGAGCTCCCTTACCTCCTGAGCCCTGACCCTGGTCACTCCTGATACACATTGAGCCCTGACCTCAATCACAATCTGAGCCCTGGCCCTGGTCACTCCTGATACACGTTGAGCCCTGGCCTCAATCACAATCTGAGCCCTGGCCCTGGTCACTCCTGATACACGTTGAGCCCTGGCCTCAACACAATCTGAGCCCTGGCCCTGGTCACTCCTGATACACGTTGAGCCCTGGCCTCAACACAATCTGAGCCCTGGCCCTGGTCACTCCTGATACACGTTGAGCCCTGGCCTCAACACAATCTGAGCCCTGGCCCTGGTCACTCCTGATACACGTTGAGCCCTGGCCTCAACACAATCTGAGCCCTGGCCCTGGTCACTCCTGATACACGTTGAGCCCTGGCCTCAACACAATCTGAGCCCTGGCCCTGGTCACTCCTGATACACATTGAGCCCTGGCCTCAACACAATCTGAGCCCTGGCCCTGGTCACTCCTGATACACGTTGAGCCCTGGCCTCAACACAATCTGAGCCCTGGCCCTGGTCACTCCTGATACACGTTGAGCCCTGGCCTCAACACAATCTGAGCCCTGGCCCTGGTCACTCCTGATACACGTTGAGCCCTGGCCTCAACACAATCTGAGCCCTGGCCCTGGTCACTCCTGATACACGTTGAGCCCTGGCCTCAACACAATCTGAGCCCTGGCCCTGGTCACTCCTGATACACGTTGAGCCCTGGCCTCAACACAATCTGAGCCCTGGCCCTGGTCACTCCTGATACACGTTGAGCCCTGGCCTCAACACAATCTGAGCCCTGGCCCTGGTCACTCCTGATACACGTTGAGCCCTGGCCCTACCCACAGTCTCAACCAGGGGCCTTTATTGGGCAGTGCCAGTGCTCAACCAGTCCTTGAGTTGGGATTGCAGCTCCATGACCTCCTGGCCCCAGCTCCAACACCTGAGGATGTCAGAGCTGCGTCCCCTGCCTGTGAGCTGCCCCGTCTCTGGACCGCGAACCTGCAGGTCAGTAGGAGTCCTCAGGGCTGGCCCCCGTGCTCCGCACGGAGCTGGGTACCAGGTACTGGGTGGAGAGCTGCATCACGTCCGCTCCCCCCGGGCACCCAGCAGGAGGCTGGAACAAGGGACTGGAGCTGAGGGCGGCGATTTCTCTCCAGAATATTTCCCGTGCTCCTACTGTTTACCAGGATCTGAAAGACTCACAGGCCCGTGGGTTCCCCTCTCTCCCAGGCTGCGGTCTGCAGAGGAGGTGCCAGCTGTGTGGGGTGCTGGGCATTCGAGCAGTCTCGGGTGGCCGGAGGTGTCAGCCGGGCAGAGTGGACAAGAGCCATACAGACAGAAGTGCGGGGGCCCCTGGGAGACCCCAACAGTCCACGGGAGGTTGGGGCATCCAGGTGGCAGCAGGAGGGTGTGGAGGACCCAAGGCCTGGAGGACAGAGAGGGGATGGCAGCAGGCTCTGGGAGAGCAGTGGGGCTGGGACAGAGAGGGACGAGGGGATGTGCATTTGCCGGGGTCTTGGCCTCTGGTTGTGAAGCCTGTGGTCGGGTGGGGCTGGGGGTAAGGGCCTGAGCTGAGCCCCAGGGCTCTGGCTAGGAGGCTGGGAAAGCGGTGGAGGTGCTTGTGCACACGGGTGTGCATACACACACACACACACACACTGTGTTTGCACCATTGGCTCCTGGGCAGATGCTTTTCCCCACTACCATCGTAACTTCCGTTCCCCTCCACCCTGCCAGGACATCTTTTCCCAGACTTCCCACCCCCATGCCCTTGCCCCACTTTCTCCCCATCTAAATCTTCCCAAACTGCCAGCCCTCCTCCTCCAGGAAGTCCTTCCTGTCTACTCCTGCCCCTGGGCTCCCCATTTTGGCAGAGGCTGGTATGCAGTGACTGTCCCTCCCCTCCTCAGCATCCATCCAGCACCCACCGCAGCCAGACCTGTCCTGGATCCTGAGGGCTGGGGCACCTGACATGCAGACATTCCAAAGACAGGTGGCATCCTACTGCACGTGCATTTCCTCATCTAGCCCTCACACTCTGAGTGTGGACACTGAAACAGTCCTGTTATGCAATGAGGAAACTGAGGCAGGAGGCTAAGACACTTACCCTCAGTCACAGAAGGAACTTCTGTGTCTGAAAAAGACCAAAGTCCCCCCCTGCCCCGCCAGGTCTCTATAAAACATCTTTGGGAAAGGGTTTGGCTGCCTCTGTCGTGGGATTGGGGCTGTTCACGGCCTGCCTGCGGTCTCACTCACCTGAGTCCTCTGTGGGTCCCTGCACACAACCCCAGGCTTTCCTCCAGCCCCTCCTCTCACCCCTCCCCTCCAGCTCCCCTCGGCTGCTTCCTCCTCCTCTTCCCTCCCACACTCCACACTCCTGTCCATCCTCGGTGCAAAGACATGAACTTGCTTCCCACGGACCCTGATCCCATCCCCTCCGGGCCCCACCTTGACTTCTCTAGATCTTTTCCTAAAT